>NC_000001.11:232244727-232396242 GCF_000001405.40 Homo sapiens | reverse complement strand
TAATACCCTTTAAAGATGGTAAGAGTCATTCTTAGCTTGCAAGACCACACAAAAACAGGCCACTCACGAGTATAATTTACCAATGCCAGGCATAAGGCAAAGTACACGAGGAAGACCAGTCTAGGTAAGAGATGGTGTTGGCACGGCCTGTGGTAAGGCAGTGAAAGTGGAGAGAAGTAGGTAGGCTACACGTGAGAATGTATTTGGAGATAGAGCCCACAGAACTGGGTTGGAGACGAGTTGGAAGGGTTGGATCCAGGGATACGCCCTAGACTTCAAAGGAATCCATGAACTGCATGTTCATCAGACGGTTTTCCAGAAATATCTCTTGCCTTTAGTAAAGGCTTAACAACAAACAGTTATGCTCCTGGCAAGGGCCTGGAATACAGCTCTCCTGCGTATTTGATCAAGGGTGTATGCATTTGCTTTAGAGCAACTAATCAGGTGGAAAGGTGGACATCATTTAGAGAAAATAAAGGAATCTGACCAAAACCTAGCTGAATGGAAAGCCATTCCATCTTCCGAAGGCATGACGACAAAACCAGAAGACATTTCTTGAAAACACAGTTCTCAGTCTATACTAGCAAAGGAATGAATAGTCTCTCTCAAGTCCATCTCCAAAGGGCCATGTCAAAAAACAGGGCCAAAATGATTTGGGTCTGTTAAGCTCTTTCAAACATGTTTCCAGTCAACAACCAACCAACTACGTGCTCCCATAGTACATGTAGTTTTGAACAACTTGGTGTCCTGGTGAACACTGTTACAAAATGTACCCCTTAAAAACTAAACATATTGACTTGCTATGACTTACTGGATACAAACCAAATATTTTGTGGAATATATCTGCTAAAAAAATTATTTTAGAATAAGCAGGTTTTTCTAACCATATGGAGTGAACTATTATGTATTAAGGCCATTTTAGTATGTGACAAAGTTATTTAGGCTTTTATCCTGCTATTCTCTATAGCTAGGAGAAGGCTTATGATTAGAAACCTAAGTTACAGTTGAGGGGACTGATAGTACAGTTTTGCCTTTGCTGCTGACAATTATCTTTTGAGTCTGTTCTGGGAGTCCACTAAACTGCAGAATTTGATCACCTATTATTTTTAGCCTTCAAAGTCATGAAGCCATAAAACATAGCTTCTTATTGGCACATCCAAAAATAAAAAAGATAACTATAAAAACATTAATAATAAAGACCTGTAATGATGATAATAGACGAGTGCTTGAATAGGAAAATCACCTGCTCCTTGTATAAAATAATTGGCCTGAGAAACCTAGATCTGTGGTTTAGAGAAAGAATTGGCATACAATTTAGACTGATCAACAAATGAATTCTCTAGTTGTGGAGAAGCTGTGAACATAACCTCTTTAAGAGTTAATTCTACTGTTTTCTACTGGATGGAACGATTGTGTCACAAGAAACAAGCCACCATCTGAGGCAGAGCCACCCTCTTGACCATGACAATCACTGCCCCACCAAGAAATACATTTGTGTGAATCTTTCTAAGAGACAAAGGCCCACTACTTTCAGGTCAAACTCTGGGGATCATTAAATAGCCTCAGATTCCCTGAAATCACACCAGTGTTTATTCTTTAGAATTTCCAAGTTGAGTATGGGGCTGGGAAGAAGTAATAAAGATTTTTGCACACACTTTTCTCCGTTGAATTACTGGTTAGTAAGAAACAATTTCAGTTCATTTGAGTGTCTGTGGATTTTGTGCTTAACACATTTAAAACCACTTCCCTAGCTCTAGTGTAAGCAAGTCAGGCATACTACTCACTCCCAAAAAAGAAAATAGAACTAAATGGGTTCTATTTAACACCAGTTAGGGGCAGGTAGGAGGAAACTGTATTTATGACCAACAGGAGAGAAAATGGTAAGAGACCTGCCAAGACCCAAGGAATGCATTTGATTTCTGACCTATAAATTAAACCAAATTAAACCAAAGAGCAAGTTTCCTGACTTTCAGTAATAGGAATTAGGCAGAAACAAGTACAAAGGAAGTATCTCCTCATGTATTTTATAAAAGGTTTAAATGGGCATCACCCCCAAATGTCACACTCTTGCATTTTGACACACGAGATTTGGGGACCTTTAAGTTGCTTTTAAAAAACACAAAAACATAAATCCTGCAAGTCCTCTCTAGTTCATGTTAATACCAAAAAGTGTACTGCCCTCTTAAATCCTTACAATGTTTTGATTAAATTTTAGCATCTGCAGACTCTTAAAAACATTTATCTTTGTTTTTCATCTCTTAATATCAGGGATCTGCCTAAAATTTGCAGAGCAGCCTGTTTTTTAAGTAGAACAAATGAAAAATAATGAGCCCCCTTGACATGCAAAAATACCCTTTGGCTGCAAAGCTGGAGCTGAGTTAGTGAAAAAACAAAATGAAGGGTAAGACTTCCAGTGTCCTGGCCATCAGTACCCATCAATCAGGCTATTAGGCAGTGGTGTTGGAAGACTTGTAATAAAGAGCTGCTCTCCCAGCCTTACTGTGACCCAGTGAAAGCCATGAGGAAGGCTGTGTGCAGGAGAGGGCTTCAGAGTGGTAGCATTTCAGTAAATTGCCTCAACTAAATCAGTGCTGGCTGTAAATACACATCTGCAGATGGAGACTTCAGGCCCTGGCAGAGTCTCCTCCATCGCTGTGTATGAAACAAGCTGGGACTGGGCGTCTGGGCCCTTGCCCCTCTTCCCCACGACCATAATCATTGATGCCAAACCAAGCGGATCTTGTGGAATGCTCCATTAAATTAGAGTAATTAAACATGGCAGTCGTGTGCTGCTCTAGGATCTGATTAAACACCTTGTAGAACCCCATCTGGGCTGAGGGCTTGCCAAACAGCAGGCTACAGCCCACAGTCCCCACTTCCATGAATATAAAATTCCCAGAATGGGCATTCTGTGTCATTTTAAATTAAATACTTAAGAACGCAAATAGCACTACTCAGGAGAGGAAGTGCACGGAAGTCAGTGGGTTTAACCCCTCAACTCCTACTTGGTCATTTTTCATTGTTACTCTTGAACTGTAAGGCTGTTGCTCTGCCAGCATCATCTTAAAACTATTTGACTTCAGATGATCGTGAAGGGGGAGGAGGGGAGGGAGTAGAGAGAGCCCTGGTAGTGACCCAGTTAATGACACTGGCTTCTGTAGACTACACTGTTTATGTGAATTCCAAGGTAGATGGGAGCTTCGAAACCAAGTTTTTCTCCCTAATTTAACAGGTTCTTGTTCTGTTCTTTCAAAGCAAGAGCCACCTAAGTGATTTGTCCTGAAATGTAAAATTGAGATTTTCTGGGAGTCTTGGCTACTGTCATTGTTTACTGTCCCATTGGGTAGGGATTATTCTTGTCAGTGACACTGATTTCCAAGAGAAAAATTGTATTAAGATCCAAAAATGTAGCTGTATAAGGAAAGGTTCTGAAGGAATCCCACCTTCACTTGTCCAAATAAACAATTTTTTTTTATTTTAATTTCAATAGGTTTTAGTGAGCAGGTGGTTTTTGGATACATGGATAAGTTCTTTAGTGGTGATTTCTGAGAGTTTGGTGCATCCATCACCCGAGCAGTGTACATTGCATGAATGTGTAGTCTTTTATCCTCCACCCTTCCCCTTGAGTGTCCCCAGAGTCCATTAGATTATTCTTACGCTTTTGCCTCCTCACAGCTTAGCTCCCACTTATAAATGAGAACATATGATATTTGGTTTTCCATTCCTAAGTTACTTCACTTAGAATAATGACCTCCAACTTCATCCAAGTCACTGTAAAGGCCATTTTGTTCCATTTCATGGCTGAGTAGTAGTCCATGGTGTATATATATAACACATTTTCTTTATCCACTCGTTGGCTGATGGACATTTAGGTTGGTTCCATAATATTTTTGCAGTTGTGAATTGTGCTTAGATGCGTGAAGTGGTTCTGCCATAAAAATGCATTACATTAACGGATGTGAACATCAAACTTGTGTATTTATAGACACACATTTTATTTATAAAAGTAGCTGCCAATACATACAGAATAGTCCAACAGAATATCTTTAATATTTCTGTTGGAAAATTTGACTTGCCCTGCCCTGCCAAAATAACTCTTCGTTCTTTATTTTATTTATTTATTTATGTATTTATTTATTTATTTATTTATTTATTTATTTTTCGAGACAGAGCCTCGCTCTGTTGGCCAGGCTGGAGTTCAGTGGCACAGTCTGGGCTTACTGCAACCTCCACCTCCCAGGATCAAGCAATTCTTCTGCCTCAGCCTCCCAAGTAGCTGGGAATACAGGTGCCTGCCACTACGCCCAGCTAAATTTTCTTTTGTATTTTTGGTACAGACGGGGTTTCACCATGTTGGCCAGGCTGGTCTCGAACTCCTGACCTCAGGTGATCTGCCTGCTTCAGCTTTCCAAAGTGCTGGGATTACAGGGGTGAGCCACCACGCCCGGCCTAACTGTTGGTTCTTATAGAAACCTGTTGCCTTTATTCTTCCCTGAGACTTCATCTTGCATGGCCTTGTTCCCTCCTGAATTATGGCTTGTGATGAATTGTATTTTAAATGAAAAGGATAGGGATGTGGTAAGTGTTAGCAAGGATGTGGAGAAATTGTAACCCTGGTGCACTGTTGGTGAGAATGTAAAATGGTGCAGCTGCTATAGAAAATATATTGATTCCTCAAAAAATTAAGCTTAGAATTGACCATATGATCCAGCAATTCCACCTCTGGGTATGAACCCAAGAGAATTTAGGAAAGAGGTATTTGTACACCTGTGTTGTGGCAGCATCATTCTCAATAGCCTAAATGTGGAAGCAACCCTGATGTCCATCAGTAGATGAATAAACAAAATACGGTCTATCTATACAATGGAATATTATTCAGTCTTAAAATAGAAGGAAAATCTGACACGTGCTACAGTGTGGATGAACTTTGAGGATGTTATGCTCAGTGAAATGATCCAGTCACAAAAGGACAAATACTGGATGACTCCACTTATATGAGGTAGTACAGTAGTTAGATTCATAGAGACAGGTAACAGAATGGTGGTCACCAGCAGGTAGGGGGAGAAGGAATGGGCAGTTGTTTTGTGGGTCCAGAGTTTCAGTTTGGGAAGATGAAAAGAGTTCTGGAAATGGATGGTGGGGAGAGTTGCAGAACAATGTGAATGCACTTCATACCACTGAATTGTACTACTCTAAATGGTTAAGATGGTAAATTGTATGTATGTCTATTTCATCACAATTAAAAGTAAATAATTTTATTTTAAAAAGATAGGAATGCGGCCTGAATGAGTGAGTTTGTGAGGACTTGGAGTCGATAAGCACAGGGAAACAAGGAAGCTTAATCTCACAAAAAACAAAGACCTGTTGGAACAAGTGCAGGAAAATATAGAAACACCACTGAAGTGCTCTCTGGATGTTAAAGAGCAGACAGACTTTGATCAATTGCCATCTATTCAGAGAGAGGAGACGTCAGTCCATGGAGCTCTGCTCTGGGGGCCTGCAGGAGGATCAACAGGGGAAAAGAAGACCTCTCTCTGAAGAGTGATTAATTTGGTAATTAATGTGTAGAAAAGGAAGAATGACTGAAGTGTTTGCTCCAGGCCCTAAATTTTAACATTTAGCTCTGCAGTGGGAGCATCTGGTAGGACACTGAGGTTGGATGAGCTAAAGAATGAGATCAGACACCAGGACAGCAGGAGAAGAGATTAAATATGAATAGCTTCAGGGGTGCTTGAGGATTGGGAAGCTTGGACACAGTGGGGAAGAAAGTGCTTGGAAAGAAGAAAAGACAAAGGCCATTATGAGAAGTCCTGGTACCCACTGGAAGAAAGAAGAACCACAGAGTTGGAGGAGACCAATCCCTTCACTTTATAGAAGACTAAGTTCTAGATATACGGTTGAAGAGGTGAGATCAAATCTATAACATGGTCCCCGATAGTTATTTTTTGGTTGAATCAAAGGAAGTATTGTATTTGTGAATAGAGGACACTGTTTGCAATTTGGATAAGGATATCTGCACTCAAGATTTTATTAATCTCAGTCAAGTCAGAACAATCAAGACCTACAAGTGAAAATAAGAAAGCATCATTGAATACTTTTAAGAGGAGGAATTATTGAGGAAAACCTAACTTTTGCCATTAACCCAACTTTATTGGACCTGCCTACAGCCTGGCTCCCATAGTAATATCTCCCCTGGTCATCGAACACCAGAGCATACGCAAGGTACAAGTGTAGAACAGGTGAGACTTAAGACTCCCCGTGGCCCCATGTGACCATTTCAGAGGTGCTGGGACATTGCCCACCTTTCTGGCCTTCAGAAGGGAGAAATATCCAGGTCAGCATGCATGCAGCTGACTGCCCAGTGAGAAGGCAGATCAAATTTGTGCTTATGGAGGACACTGGATCTGGGCTCAGTTACTCCCATTCAGCCTCTTGGAACTTCATGTTGACTTGCCCAACTCCTGTGCACCTTTACCTGGAAAGGTCACGTTTAACCAGTGCCATGAGCACTTTTCAAAAGGCTAATTGAGTCGCCTTTCTGTGCCTTCACAGAATGTCTGTGAGCTCATGCTAGCCTATGCTTGCTATTAGGGAACCAGGAAGTGTGCGTTGGTGCTTTTTTTTTTTTTTGGAGATGGAGTCTCACTCTGTCCAGTGGTGTTATCTCAGCTCAATGCAACCTCCACCTCCCGGGTTCAAGCAATTCTCCTGCCTCAGGCTCCCTAGTAGCTGGGATTACAGGCATTCACCACCACGCCCGGCTAGTTTTTGTAGTTTTCGTAGAGACGGGGTTTCACCATGTTGGCCAGGCTGGTCTCGAACTCTTGACCTCAGGTGATCCACCCTCCTCAGCCTCCCAAAGTGTTGGGATTATAGGCATGAGCCACAGCGCCCTGGCCAGTGCCTTTTTTTTTTTTTTTTTTTTTAAGAGACAGGGTCTCAACTTGTCACCAAGGCTGGAGTGCAGTGGCACAATCATAGCTCACTGCAGCCTTGGACTTCTGGGCTCAGGCCATCCTCCTCCCTCAGCCTCCCAAGTAGCTGGGGCTACAGGCACGCACCACCATACCAGACTAATGTTTAAATTATTTTGTAGAAATGTGGTTTCATTATGTTGCCTAGGCTGGTCTTGAACTCCTGGGCTCAAAAGATACTCTTGCCTTGGCTTTCTAAAGCTCTGGGATTATGGGCATGAGCCGCCATGCCCAGGTGATTGGGACCCTTGAGTGCTATAGAGACAGTGGATGTGCACTTCCTACAAAGCTGCCTCCTTTCAGCTGGCCAGCCTTGGCAGAAAGGGAGGATGGACTGAGTGCTCACTGATCCCCGCTGACCCCGCTGCTGAGGCCATGAATCTGTTTTGAAGTGAGGAGGTAAACTGTCTTAGACGGCTCCTGAACAGGGTCTAGAACCCCACAGATCCTTGCTGTCCTTTGCCAAGTGTCCCGATGTTGAGGTTAGGAGAAGGGACAGGGTCCGGCTGGAGAGAAAGAAGACTGAGAAGGAGTCTATGCTTGCTACAGATGCCCTGTGCCCATTTTCCATTTGCATGGTGGCCGTGAGCAGCCACATGGCTGCAGCCTAAGCTTTTCAGGAGTGACCATTGGGCCTATAATTTATTGTCAATTACGTGAAAATCCTAGAAGGAAAATCTGCTGTCAGGACTTTATTTTTCCTTACTCAGCAGAATTGGGATATCTAAGATCATCTTTGAAGATTCTTTTTCTCTAAGAAGAGATCATTTACAAACAGTATTCTCAAGTACTATTTTAGAACTCACCAGAGCTTTGTCCCATAACTGACATTTGTTGGTTATATTACACTGCAATGTAACTCCTAGCCCCAAATTATAACGCTCACTTCCTTCCCCTCCTCCTCTTTCTCCCCAGAGACTATGGTGAATACCTGTTATGGGGCAGACACTGTGCAGGGCATTGGGAATACAGCATGAGACAGCCTCTAAGGAGGCGGTAGTGGGTGAAGGAGAAGACTTTATCAACAGGGGCATCACCATTTGTCTTGGAGTGCAAAGTAACACAAGCAGCAGGGGAGCAGCAAGTGGGTATGGAGAGGGGCTGCAGAGAGGAAGGAGTACCAGAGCCGGGTACTAAAAGGCAAACATGCCTGTGTCTTTTATTTTTATTTATTTACTTTTGAGACAGAGTCTCACTCTGTCACCAGGCTGGAGTGCAGTGGCACCATCTCGGCTCACTGTAACCTCGGCCTCCTGGGTTCAAGCAATTCTCGTTCCTCAGCCTCCCAAGTAGCTAGGACTACAGGCACGCACCACCATGCCCAGCTAATTTTTGTATTTTTAGTACAGACTGGGTTTCACCATGTTGGTCAGGCTGGTCTCAAATTCCTGACCTCAGGCGATCTGTCTGCCTCGGCCTCCCAAAGTGCTGAGATTACAGGCGTGAGCCACCGCGCCCGGCCATATGCCTGTGTCTTAACTCTACAGCTTATCTAGTCTTCATCTTCACTACAGCCATGTTGCTAAGATGTAAAAGGACCAGGACCTCTTTCCAGGTGTGATAGGAAAGAAATGAAGAGGTGTTGATACCATCTAACTCTGTGGTTGCCAGGAATCAAAGGAATGTAATACAGGTAATAACTTAGAAAAAGCATTTTTGTTTTCTGCCGAAGTGCACAAAGGCAATGGACTAATACAACTGTTGAAATCCACAAGTGCCTGGTTTCCAGCACTGGTGGAAACCACTGGCCAAGCAGATGGTCCGGAGTCAGCTCATGTGTGTGTCTGCTGGGGCATGCTGGGCATCATCAGCAGAAACCCAGTGTGACTGTGGAAGGCAGGCTAGACACGAGTTTAAGCTGAGAACCCCAAGGCATGGCAAAGTGCACCTGGGCAGGTGGATCCAACTTGGGCTGCCCCCTGTGTGTCTGCAGCCCCTGCCCTGCCGGGTCATAAAGGCCAGGTCAGATGAGAAGAGCTGGACCTTTGAGGGGGGCACAGGACAGACTCCAGATGGCCAGCCCTTGCTCTGCCCCTAGAAAAGCCAGGGCCTCAGAAGAGACCCGGCTTCCGGGACCTTGCTAACCTCAGCTAGGCAGACAGCTAGAGCATCCTCAGAGCCCTGAAAAGAGGCACAGAGGAGCCCAACATGGGGACCAAATCCTTTTAAAGGATGCTAGCCCATCTCTTTTCCCAGTGTAAATGCCCACAGAAGAAACATTTTCCCCTCTCCAAGTTTCAAATTTTTCAACCTGGCAAATAAAAGCAATCTGTGGGCCTGTGCCTGATTTATGCAGGTGTCTGTAAAGGGTTTCCCTGGCCGCTGTTTTCTGTTTGCCCCGCATCCTGCACCACACTCAGTCACATTCACACCCAGGAAGCCTGAGCCAGCCAGGGTGACCTAATATCCCACAGGGGTTCCCAGCCGGATGTGTTCAGCCATCTTCCACAGAGTCACTTCTGCTAGAAGGAGCTGAAAGTGCTGGCCCTGCTGAGAGTCCATGCTCACCTGAGTAGTAGAAGGGATATCACGAGCAACTGAGAGTTTCCTGGCATGGGCTCCCGGTTCTTTTCACCCCTCCAAGTGGGATCTACCATTAGCTAGGCTGGGCCCTAACAGTGCACTGTTTTGAGGTTGATTGGCCAGACTTTGGAAGGTAAGACAGGAACAGTGATCTGGAGAGGGCTGAGCCTTGAGCAGGCGTTGCTGCTTTGACAGCTGACAGTGATCCCATGATCCCTTCCCAGAGAATGTGCTGTGTGGCCGAGTGAAAAGCTGCACTTGGCTCCAGGGACAGGTGTGACCTCAGTCCTGTCAGACTGCGGAACCCCAGGTCGTGACCTTCCTTCCTCTCCTCACTCAGGGTGGCATCTCCTGTGCCACATACGGTCTTAGTCTGCACCATGGACGTTCGAAACACCAGAGCACTGGCAAATGTCGCCGGGGCCCTGGGCCCTAGGGATGCAGGCATCTCTCCAAGGGAGCTTCTCTCACACTTGGAAGTAGGCACCGAATGTGTGATGTCCTCTGTGGCTCCCTCTCCACCCACTCATTTCCACACTGTCTACACCTGCTGTCTACATTGCCTGCATACCCACCTGAGGCACCCAGTAACCAGCCTCTATTTCTACCACTCACCTAAGCCTGAGGGTTCTGATGAGGGCCACCAGAAGCCTACCAGCTGCTAAAACAAATAGACATGGAATTTCAATAAAAATAGAGCGCAAGGGCCAGGTGCCGTGGCTCACGCCTGTAATCCCAGCACGATGGGAGGCTGAGGCAGGCGGATCACGAGATCAGGAGATCGAGATCATCCTGGCCAACATGGTGAAACCCTGTCTCTACTAAAAATACAAAAAAAATTAGCTGGGCTTGGTGGCACGTGCCTGTAATCCCAGCTACTCGGGAGGCTGAGACAGGAGAATTGCTTGAACCAGGGAGTCAGAGGTTGCAGTGAGCCGAGATCGCACCACTGCACTTCAGCCTGGGTGACAGAGTAAGACTCCATCTCAAAAAAAAAAAAAAAAAAAATAGAGTGCAATAGCTTTCACTATACATCTCCATGCACTGGCACATGGTACTGATGAAGTTGAATTTTTCAGATCTTCTCCTTGCCCTCCCACGGCATTGGCAGGGTGACATAGTCCCTCCTGGAAACGTGGTGCCCCCCCATCCCAGGACACTTGGCCGTGCGTGGCTCTGCCCACTCTTGCCTGCCGCCTTCCCTGCACCTCTCCTTTGGCCACTCTGCCGAAGTTGGCCTCTCTCTGTGTTTGTGGCCTCCCACAGTCTCTGCGTGGGGAGTGCTCATTCCTGCCCAGGGCCCTGCTAGTCCCAGCTCTTTGCCCTAACTCTCCCACAGCCCTGCGGGAAGTGCAGATGGGCTGACTCACCACCTCCTGAGAAGAGCTCTGTACTGCACAGGCAGAACACCCAACACTGCATCCTCAGCAGCGAGAGTTGCAGATACAACTTAAATGCTACCAATCAGTCCCCACGCAATGCAATTCGGAGCTCAGTCATGTGGGCAAAAGGTAGCAGTGCAGGAAGTATCCACTGGTTGCTGTAGGTGTGGCAGGCAGGATGCTGGACCCCATGGTCCCTGAATCATAGCTAAGGGTGGAGACGCTGGAGCCAGTGGTCAGGTGGGCTGCGTGACTCCAGCTCCCTGACTGGGGTACCCTGCACCTCCTTTTCTACACTGGCTCTGTGGACTTGCTCCAGGAGTCACTCCTGCAGCCTGCTCCTAAGGTTTTGAAGCCACTTGTACAAACCACCGTCTGCTGGCAAGAGTTGGCATGCTTCTCTTCCCTCTGTCGTGGAAATTTTGTATTACCTGGACCACTGTCTCTACTTCAGTGTCCCAGTTCATGCTCATTATTTCAAAACCAGAATTCTCCTCTTCTGTGTCAGACAGTATGCTTCCAGTAGCAATTAACAGACACTCAGTTCAAATAAATTTGAATTCTAAGGGGGATTTTTGGCTTACAGAACAGGAACTGGAGATCAGCAGGCTTCAGAGCTGGTTTCCTCTGGTAGGATAATCATGCCCCCAAAGCCCTGGTTTCTGCCACTTATCTGTTGTGTCTTCGATGACCTCAGCCTCATCCTCAGGCTGGCTCTCTGCCTGCTCCCAGGATGGCTATCCAGGATGGGCCTCCTTTCTTCTCCACCTCCAGAGAGAGAGAGAAGAGAGAAGAGAAAAAAAAAAAGACAGAGAAGGAGAGAGAAAACACAGAGACAGAAAGACAGAGAGGTGGGGGTGGGGAGAGAGAGGGGAGGAGAGAGAAGAAGGGAGAGGGAGGAGAGACAGAGAGAAAAGGACAGGAAGAGATAACAGAGCATGAGAATGAGCCCATGTTTCTGCTTCAAGAGTCAAGCAGAAGTCCTAAGGTCTTCTCTGATTGCGCCGACTTAGACCACACCCTCATGAGCTCATCACAGCAGGCAAGGATGGAGGATTCACTTAAGACTCTCAGAGGCCCCCTTGAAACTTAGACCTGGAGTCAGCTTCCCCAAAGCACAGGGAGCATAGTGGACAAGGTGACTACCCAGACTAGAATGTGAGGACTGTTCTGAAGGGTAGAAGAGAATCCGTGCTAAGTAGGAGAGAATCAGTGCTTGGAGGAGAGAATCTGTGCTAGGTAGGACACTGCCCGGGACTGAAGGCTTCTTCTCCCCACCCCCAAATTCGTACATTAAGGCCCTAATGTAGTGGCATTTGGAGGCAGGGCCTTTGGGAGGCAATTGTGTTTGGATGAGGTCGTGGGACTGGATCCCTCGTGATGGGAGTGGTTCCCCATAAAGGGATGAAGAGCCAAGGGCTTGCTCTCTATGCCATATAAGGACGCAGTAAGAAGATGCCCTCTGTAAACCAGGAAGTGCACCCCCACCCGACACCAGATCTGCTGCACCTTGACTTGGGATGTCCAGCCCCCAGAACTGTGAGCAATAAATGTGTGTTGCTTAAGCCACTCGGGCTTTGGCACATTTGTGACAGCAGCTCAACCAGACAGACCAAGACAGAAACCCAGCAATATCCTCCACCCACTTCCAAAACGGTTCATGTTCTGCGTTCTCATTCCATAGCGGTGGGTGACAGCCATCTACCAGGTGCCCTGCCCAGGAATCTCTGAGTCAGCCTAGGTTACGGCCTCTCCCTCACTGTCTGCGTCGAGTTCATTGCCAAGATACACTGTTGGTGGTGGTGGTGCTCTCACTTCCCAAATACCATGAAATTGTGTCCTCCAGCTTTCATCCTTTCTTTCAAGCCCTCACCAGTGCCCACCTGAACACAGCACCCAACTCCTGAGTGGTCTCCTGAACTATCCATTCCCCCAACCCAGCCACCCCCATACCACGCTTCCGGCACCAGGGCGCTGTGACACATCCTTCCTTCCTTGCCAAGCTCCTGATTAAAATGCTTCTGGAGGCCGGGCGTGGTGGCTCACACCTGTAATCCCAGCACTTTGGGAAGCCAAGGCAGGTGGATCATTTGAGGTCAGAAGTTTGAGACCAGCCTGACCAACATGGTGAAACCCCATCTCTACTAAAATACAAAAATTAGCCAGCCATGATGACGGACACCTGTAATCTGAGCTACTTGGGAGGCTGAGGCAGGAGAATCACTTGAACCCAGGAGGCGGGGGTTACAGTGAGCCGAGATTGTACCACTGCACTCCAGCCTGGGCAATAGAGTGAGACTCCCTCTCAAAAATAAATAATAAATAAATAAAACGGCTTCTGGTGCTATCCTCTGCCTCAAAATAAAGCCCAGCCATGCCTTCCTCCTATAGCTCAGCACCATCTCCTCTGTGCTACCTCCCTCCTCACACACCCACTGGCTTCCCAAACACATGAGCCATTTGACACGTAGCACATTTGTGTGGCTGAGGGAAGAGGCTCCGGATCCTCTGAGCTGGACGAAGGGTTGCACACTAAACTCTGGGGCAGTGGCCATGTCCCAGCCCTTTCCCTGGTGATTCATTCCCACTTTTTCTGTTGGTGTGAAATAGAATCATAGAAACCCAATCCAGTACTCCACAAAATTAAAATTTTTAAGACTCCCAATTCATTACATGCCTAACTATAAAGGCAAAGTTATAAAGCTAGAAGAAAGCTTTAAAACTATAAAACTGGGAGAAAATGCAGAAGAATATCTTTAGAGTCTTGATGAGGAAAATCTTTATTAAAAAAAGTCCAAAAAAAACACAAGAAAAATGATGTCACTGGCTTTACTAAAGATTTCTGTTCAGTAACTAGCAACAGAGACTGGATGAACAGACAGGAGAAAACATATCCATTTTCTTTTTCTTTTTCTTTTCTTTTTTTTTTTTTTTTTTTGTGGACCGAGTCTTACTGTGTCGCCCAGGCTGGAGTGCAGTGGTGCGATCTCAGCTCACTGCAACCTCTGCCTCCCGGGTTCAAGTGATTCTCCTGCCTCAGCTTCCCAAGTAGCTGGGACTACAGATGCATGCCACCACGCCTGGCTAATTTTTTGTATTTTTAGTAGAGATGGGGTTTCACTGTGTTAGCCAGGATGGTCTCAATCTCCTGACCTCGTGATCCACCCACCTCATCCTCCCAAAGTGCTGGGATTCCAGGCGCTTTCTATACCTGACAAAAGCCTGGTATTCAGAAACCATAAAGAACTTTTGTAAATCACACAGAAAAAGAAGATTAATACAATAGAAAAATAGGCGATGCATACGAGCAGGCCTGTCACAGAGGGAGAAGCTCAAAGGCTAATGAGCATATGAAGAGATTCTCAACCTCACCAGCAATGAGAGCAGTACAGATTAAAATATCAGAGAAATACAAATTCCCCGCACCAGTTGGCCGGAGCTAGAATGCTGGAGAAAAAGCAATTGGTGGTGAGGATGTGGGAGGAATGGGAGCTCGTTGGTGTGTGGACTAGTGCAGCCATTTGGAAAGCAGCCAGGCAGTGTTAAGTGAAATTCAGGAGAGAAATATCATATTACACATCTTTGCATATCTATATATATGTATATGTGTGTATATCAAAAGAAATATGCACCTCTGTGCACAAAGGAGCATGTCTCAGGATATTCATCATGGCGCTGCTTCTGCTGGGTGGCCGAGGTGTCCTCACTAGAGGGACAGTCAATGTGAGCTCTTAACAGCACCAGATTTCTTGCAGCAATCGGAAGCCAGAAACTCTGTCTGCAGAGAGCCAATGATTACGCCTCAAAAACATACTGTTAAGTGCGAAAGTGAGTAAAAGGAAGAGATTGATATTGTAATGCTATGTTGACATTATTTGAAACAACAAACCACAAAAGAACAAAGCATATTTTCTGTAAATATAAATATGTATAAATTCATACATGAGGGGATGGATGATAGCCACCTCATGAATGTGGCAAAGTGCCGAAGGGTGGGTGGGGTGGGGTGTGTGGGGTGGAGGGTTAGAACTAAAGAGGAGAAAAGTAAAATAAAAGAAGGCAAAAGAAGGGCTTTTCATGGGTCTAAGTTTGCTTTGAATGTAGGAGTGTGGTCAAGTCAATGCTGTGCACCTGAGGTCCATTAAAAGAGAAAGAAAGGAAAGAAGTTCAGCCTGAAAGATTCCATGCATTTTTATGGACTCAGATCAAAGCATTGTTTATCTACTCTGTCTCCCCTACTCCCTCGTCTTCCACTGCTGCTGATAATCCAGGAGATATTACAAGTAAGAGTTGTGCTTGATTCTGGCCCATGATGGGTGCCTCCCCGCTCCACCGTGGCTGAGCTCAGGCAGTTGGTGTAGAACCTTCTTACCCACTACTTGAAGGAGTTTAGCCCTTTGCCTCTCTACCAACCTCCATTCAGAAAGCAAAATCAGGGTCTCGACTTGAAATGATCATCTTGAAAGAAGCCATTGGCCAATGTTCACTGCAGTGTTTCTGCTCCCTGAAGCATCTCCCAGGCAACTTCTGGAGACAGGACTAAATCTGGGAAGGAAGCGTGTCTGTGCTTTCCACTAGGCACCAGGTCAGTCACCAGGGTTGGCTGGCTGCTGCTCTGAGTGCATAGTTTGACTATAACCATTTTGTTAAAAGAGAATAAGATGAAGTGGCAAGGCCAGCTTTGTTGGTCAAGGTCCCCAAGGCCGTGCTCACCAGGGCCAGCTGCATAATTTGTAGCCCAGTGTGAAGTGAAAATTCAGGGCTCCTTGCTCAAAAAGCAGAAAATGAGTGCTGTTATAGATACTACGATACAGATCATTTCCTCTCTCCCTCTGTCTCTCTCTTTTTCTCTTTACTTGCCATGGTGGTTTTTTTTTAATTGGCTATTAAATAGCCAATTAAGACATTAGAAGACATTAAAATCTTCTTCATGGAGACAGGGATGTCGCCCTGTGGGCACAGATCATCTCAGGCTCCTGTGGACCCCATCCTGCTACTAGGAGGGGGCGCCCTTCTCCCAGCCATCACATTGACGTACCATCCCTGAGCTGGGGCAAGGCAGGAACTCTCCCCTTCCCATAGGACCAGAACTCCAGTTCATGGTTCCTCCCAAGGGATGACACCTGTGGGCCAAGACCAAGATCACTTTCTGGATAAGGGGTAAACCAGAAGCTTCCCTGTGCTGGGTCACCAGCAGCTACCATCTTGAACTGGGGACAGACACCTCCATGTCCTGGGCCAAGGTATATGGAACATGTCTGCCAGCCTTTCCTGTCCCCACACCTGCCTCAGGCCCCCACTGGGCAGGAAGATGGCCAAGGTTGCTGGGAGAGAGGGGAAAAGGGAAGCCAAATGGGACATGGTGCCAGGGAACAGGGGAGCCAGCACCAGAGGAGGCATCCCAGGGAGGCAGCAGCAGAAGGACCACAGGGGGCCAAGCAAGCCCCTGTGCATGCTGCACGGTTCCATGAGCTTTCACTCACAAAACACAGGTCCTAAACGACAATCATTACGAATTGCAGGCCTGCAACCACACGGCATGAAACCCCTGTGCTGTTGCAGTGGTTACATGGCCAAAAGGCTGACCCTGCTGTTTACCATGACAGATCCACTTTCTCCTCCAGGAAGGAACTGTGAATCTCACCACAATGCCCTGGGTGCCTGCCTCTCCCTCTATGTGCCAACTAATAAATATTTGGAACTTTTGCAAGCCAATTGTTGTCCTATTGATGGCTCGAAATTGGCCGTTTCTTCTTCCCTTCAAAGTGGTTCCCTTTCAAGGTCTTGTTCATCCACCTAAAGACATGGCTGGCCCCTGGGACAGATGAATGTGGCCAAGTCTGAAAAAGGGAACAATCTTCCAAAAGCAAGGCTGAGAGGGGCAAACGGAGCCCAACTCTCCAAGGTCCCAGCCCCTACAAGAGTGCAGCTGTCCCTAGGAGCCTCCCACATTGCAGAGTCAGCCTGGGCAGCTGGGAGATGGAATGACCATCCCCTTGGTACTATCTGGTTTGTCCTGTGCGTCCCTCCTGGCTGTACATTGTCTCCTACAACCCTCCCCGCTACCCCCTCTCCCCAGTGCTCATTCCCAGGCTGGGAGTTGACTTCCTTGTTGTCAGAGTCTCCACGGAGCTCTGAGGGGTCGTGAGAGTGGCCACTGCATAAAGAGGGAGGAGCGGGGAGAGGAGGTGGCAAAGCTCCATGGGTCCGGCCACTTAGCAACTAGGTCTTGGGCTCGATAAAATGGCTTGGCAACAAGCTGATGATTTCTTCCAGTTTAATTTTGTGAGCTAAAACCCTGACTCAGATTTCCTTCTCAACTGCCCTCCCCAGCTCACGTATGAGACCAGTTGCTATTTGTTCTGTAAAAGAACACCCTGGGTAACGTTTGAAACGATGGGAAATGCCTCAAGGAATAACAACTGCACAGATACTGTCGCCCCTCCCTACCAGGCCCTGGCTGGGAGTAAATGCCGGCTCCTGGGAGCACTCAGGTAGGCTGCCTTCCCTGGGAAGCCCAGCAGGGCCTCTGGAAAAGTGGTTCCCACAGACAGCCCCCTGCCTGGTCCCTGAAGGAGCTGGGCCTCACCCTTGGGCCTGGAGCCCAACAGAGGAGTCAAAGACAGCCCTGCTATTCCTTTGAGAAGCAAAAAGGAATCTTCTCGACATAAGCTGCTTTGACTTTGCAGTTCTCAGGTTTCAGAGGCTGTGCAGGCCAAGTGTACCTGACTCGGGTTAGCAGGAGCAGCGGGCCCTCAGGTGAGGCCTCAGGCTCCCTGATGTGTCCCCCCGTCCTCCTCACAGGCTGGCTGTGTGGTTTGACAAGACAGCAGAGGCTGTGGAAAGGAAGGGACAGGGAGCTTGTGCACGCTCTTCCTTCCACCAGCCAGCTCCGGGCAGAGCCAGTGCCCCAGGCACCTTTCCAAGGCAACTGTGCAAACATATTCACTTCAGATCAACCTTCTGTCTGCAAAATCCAGCCTGTAAACTGGCCCTGCACCCTACAAGAGGCACGGGGATTTGCTGCTTGTTTTTACTCATGGGTCTTGTAAGTTCTCCCTTTAGTGAAGGGAGAACTTCCAGAGACCGTCATGCTTGATCACACATTGGCCAGCACTCATAAAACTGTATCATGTTTACTTAAACTATTTTTTTTTTTTTTTTGAGACAGGGTCTCACTCTGTCACCCAGGCTGGAGTGCAGTGGAACCATCATAGCTCACTGCAGCCTTGAACTCCTGGACTCAAGCAATCCTCCCCCCGGGTATCCCAAAGGGCTGGGACTACAAATGTGAGTCACCACGCCCTGCGCAAGCTATTCTTCTTTGCATGAATCCATAAGCAATCTTATTTTAAGGGGAGGGATTGTATCTTATTGACCACTGTATCTACAGTGCTTAGAATATGCTAGATGCTCAGTCAAGGTTTGTTGTGAACTAAAATAATAATGCTATTATTTTAGCATTATTATTTTAATAATAATAAGGAAAATAATAATAAGGGAAAGAGGAAAAAAGAGAAATATGTGGACTTTAGTGTAAAAACTATTTTGAGTCGAATTCTGCTATGTGTCTTTAGACAAATTGCTTAACCTTTCAGAGCTACTGGCCCTTCATTGGTAAAGTTTATATAATCATATAAAATTCATGATGTTCTGCTGAGGATGAAATTAGAGACTGTATTTCAAATGTCTGGCCAGTTGTAAGAGCTCATTGGGTATAATTTCCCAGCAGGCTCATAGCTTTTATTTGAGTCTCTTAGGATCATTGTGTTAACATTGTCGGGGCGGTGGGCGGGAAAGGAAGGCTGACTCACTCCTTTTCCATTTGGCAATGAAGATCAGTGAAAGCTCAGTGAAGCCAAAGGTCACAGAAAAATGGTGTGATTAGAACACAATATCCATTGTATTCTAAGTGCCTAGGCCTGGGCTGGGTATTCTGGAGAATACAGAGGTAAACCAACTTGTGAACTGACCTTCTCTGTTGGTTTCTACTTTGCTGCACTAGTGGGTTTGCGCCTCTATGACCCCAGGCTTGGCTCTGATCCTCACTCCGGATCTTGCTCCTGATCTCTGGAGTGGTAGAAATAATCCAGCCCACACGTTTTAACTTGAATGGATTTCTGTAAGTGACTGCATCTCTTTGATCTGAGGCTCCTGTCTGCAAGGTAGGTATAGTCATAATAATTTCACCCATTGGCCAGGGCTGATGTTGGATTAGGTCACCTCCAACACCACCTTGGACTCCCTCACTAGGTGTTGTGCTGGTGTGTGAACATTATAACCAAAGACGTGGCATCCCCCGTCTATGGGCTCCCCTCCTGGTCTCCACCCCAGCTCCGTTTCCTGTTCACCATTTTTGGCTCTGATCTATGACCTCTGCTAGCAAAGCAGCACATTTCTAATTTGGCAGGGGCTGCTGTTCGTGTCCTTTTCTCTGCCCAGGACAAGAACGATGTAATTGGAACCACCAATGGCAGACACAGAAAGAAAACAGGATTGACAAGCTGGCACCATGTGAGCCCATGAGAGCCAAACCATGGCAAGGGGATTGCAGAGAGTCAGATTCTCCACTGAGCCCTGCCCCGGCAGGAAGGCAAGCTCCAGTCAAGGGTGGAACAAGGTGACGCCCACGTTCAGCCATAGGAAGCTCGCACATCTCCTGCCACCAGCCACGACAGCCCCCGTCCTGCACAGGCAGGCCCGAATCTTGGGAAACACAATGGCTGCCGCCATCACAGTTATAGATATTCACAGGTCTCAGAGAAGGTGAGATTCACGGAATTCACATCCCAGCTCTACCATCTACTGGTGTGTACTATGGGCCCCAGTTTCCACATCACTAACCTGGGATCATAATTGCCTGATTCATAGAATCCCTATGAGAATTAAAAAAGAATGTATTTGAAATGCTTAGTTTTGTACCCTGTACAAGCAGAGTAAGTAATAAATGGTAGCTGTTACTCTTACCCCAGCTGTGGCTGATGACATTAACATAATAATTTTTTTCTTTTTTTTTGAGACGGAGTCTCGCTCTGTCGCCCAGGCTGGAGTGCAATGGCACGATCTTGGATCACTGCAACCTCTGTCTCCCAGGTTCAAGCAGTTCTCTGCCTCAGCCTCCCAAGTAGCTGGGATTACAGGCACCTGCCACCAACACCCGGCTAATTTTTATATTTTTAGTAGAGACGGGATTTCACCTCTTGGCCAGGCTGGTCTTGAACTCCTGACCTCGTGATCCACCTGCCTCGGCCTCCCAAAGTGCTGGGATGAGAGATGTGAGCCACCACACCCGGCCAACATAAGAAATCGTACTCACATGTTCCCTGTGGCAGAGACTACTGGTTGTCCACATCAACAACCATTCTCTCCTTCCTCCTAAGTGACAGAGCCCTAATTGGACTTGGTGGACAAGGTGCTCAGCTAAAAGATTATCTCCAACGTTCTCTTGTTGTTAGTTGTGGCCAATGAGACATAAATAGAAAGAGTGGACCACCTGGGAGAAGAGGGTACCTTTGTTCTTGCCACTCCTCCTGCTGCCCAGGGCACCCTGCTGATGGCCAGAGCTGCGGTGACTTCCCTGGAAGATGGGAACGAGGGTCGCAAGCTCTGGATAGAAGAGGAGTCTGGGGGCTGGTGGATTTCCTGGAACCATGATTGCTCTGCACTTCTGGCCACGATAATTGCTTTTTTACATGGGGGAGAAAGAAGTCTTATTGTGTTATTTAAGCTTATCTGAGATTTTCTGTCTTGTACAGCCCAAATGCAATCCTAGCTGACACGATAACGGATATTTAGCAGGGAGTGGAGAGCCCAGGGAAGAATACTGTGATGCTGATGGGGAATATTGATGGTAAGTGCTAAAAACAAGACTTGCCTCCTTGTGGTAGGACTGGCCCCATGGAAGATACCCGTGTTTCATGTTTTTACATCATCAGACTCCCAGTTTGCAGATAGTGGCACGTGGTGACACCTCCTCACTGTGTGATCCAGGGGCCTTCCCTGATGTGGTCCTGGATGTTTCTGTACTGATGGCCTCACTCCCCTGGCTGCTTGGCTCTGTACTGGGATTTTCATCTCAGGTAATTGCATACTTCTTGCTTAAGATTCTCACCTCCAAATTTGGATTTCCTTGGGAAAGTAAAGTAGTTTCTGGGGAACCAGCCTGGGAGCCCATATTTTATAACAGTGTTCTTAGGGAAAACTGTATTTTGAGCTACAAAATACCTAAAAACCACCTTGTAGAACTGGATCTGTGAGATGACAAAGGCTAAAATAATCTTCATATTGCACTGTGCTAATGTTGGCCCTCTCTTTAGATAATGGGGCTGTGTATATAAAAAATGTGTCTGTCAGAGGTTCTTGAAGACACACAGCCTCCCCGGGATAGGCTCCAAATCCACAGTGGCTGGAGATGGAGATTTTATTCCAGTGTCTCTCTCTTGTACCCTCAGAAAGCCATACTTGGGGAGAGTGATGAGGATTTACTCCCTGGGACAGTGGGAATCGGTGTGATTCTGCGACATCTTCACCTAAGAAACCATACATTGCAATCAGTTTCCCAATTTTTCTTTCTTAGGATGTGTGAAACCAGCCTGAAGACAGTTCTTGTAAAAATGTCCTTGAAACCATGAAATTGGCGCAAGACCGATCAGAACTGAGATAGGAAAGTCACTCAAAGAACTCGAAAGCCTACCAGGCCAGAAAGGGTGGTCTACGACTTAATTGGTTGTATCAACCCATGTAAGCAAGGACTATGTCCTTCAGAAATGGATGAACGAGAATGGAAAGCTGGAGGAAGGAGAGACAGTCACACATGGGCAGTGCTCATCAGGAAGGGCTCTGCTTGGCAACAGTGCGTCTGATCCACCTGTCAGGTATATCCTTATTTTGAAGGTGAGACTTCCTGGGATTTTGGAGACTGATGCTAAACTCTGAGCTCCAAGAAAGCAGGAACAATGTATCTAACTTGTTCACAGGGCCTCATGCAATGTAGGTATTTGATGAGTGTTTGTGGAATGAACTCATTGACTCTTTTAACATTCAAATCTTTCATATATGCATATAAATACAGAAGTTATGTATTGTATGAATCCCTTGTGTCTTTTTATTCTGTATTTTTGATGCTTTGACATCTGGGGTTCTTGCTGATCCTGGAGGGACTGCCCCTTTTAGGGTTCGTCAATTTCTGGGGATAGATAACAACTCACCCACAATCATGCCTTTCAAATACAAACCAACCCATCCAGAGCCCACACTCCCAACCACCCCCTCTGTGGGGCTCTCACACTGTGGACCACTATCCCCTACCCTAATCATCCCAGGGCCAGGTACCAGACAACCAGGAACAGCTCCTACAACCCAGAGTCCTGAAATATTCAAACTAGCCCATCCTAAGCCAGCTTACGTTGTCTTACCCTCTCCTTCCCTTGGAAACAACAATAAAGGCTCCCGCTCACACTTCCCTCCTTCCTGCTCTGCTTTCGGACCGACCCTGGTGCTTCCCGCTTGGCCCTGCGTGCTGTGTTTCCTGTTTCTAAGGACCTGTGAGTATGAACTTTTTCCTTCATGACAGTCATTTCCATTTCTGTGTGTCTCACCATCCCTAAGTAAAACAAATCCCAGGTTCCCTTAAAACATAGCTCTCTGTTCTCTAGTTCCATTCCCTCCAAAAGGCATTTCCGTATTTAGCTCCCCATATAGCTTGCCCACAGGGAGGGAAAGTGTCAGGCCGATGTGAACATCTGGTCCACCTGACAGTTAAATTTCTCATTCTAAAAAAAAAAGAAAAGAAAAAGAAAACACCGTTCTTATTTTCTAGTGAGTTTTGCTAGGGTGAGTCAACATCACCAGTCCAAAGGGCTTTTGGTCCCTGAAGCAGCAAGATGGGGGCCAGACTTCAGATGGTGGTCAACTGGCCCATTCACCAGCCCAATAGCACTTTGAGGGGACTAGTCTGCATGACTGCCTGCCTGCCCCTGTCCTCTCTGCCTGGATGTGGCCTTTCCTCTACACCAGGGTTTGGATCTGATTGATGCACAGAAGCCAGTTCCTGCTGTTTCCTCTGTATGTCCAGAGCTGTGTGTGCCTGAGACACAGGCAGACGCCCAGGCACCCAGGGAGAAGCCAGCCTGGGAACCAGACTCTTGCACCTGGAAGTTGCTCCAGCTGACATTTCCAAATGAAAGTCTGACTAGCAGGAAAAACCTCAGACACGCAGATGTCCCCAGAACAGTCACTCTTTCCAGAGAAGAGCAATGAAAGGACTTAGAAATCCAGAGCCAGAACGGAAGCTGACCACGGCTCTCCACTGGCCCCTGTGTCGCGGAAGGCCCTTTTGTCTTCCAGCAACAACATCAAGGCCAACCCTGGGCCAGAGGCAACGTGCGATCTCCCCAGGTGACTGGAAAGCTTCTCCCCCAGGCTGTGCAGCACAAACTGGAGACTCAAAACAGAAGCTACTTTGTCTCTGCGATGAGTCAATGCTGTCGTCAGTGGGGCGCAGTAATGGAGTCACTGGGTAAAGTCATGGAGCGTCGAAGGACAGGGTGCCCCCTGCAGAAAGTCTAGGGGGAGGGAGCCATCCGCCCTGTACCAACTGACACCCCAGCCCACCTCCTGTCCCGCCCCGGCCTCCACCTGCAGTCACACTTCTGCCCCGATGTCCACCCTTACTAGCAGGTGGTCTTGGAAGCCCCCTTCTGAGTTCCACTGTCCCTGTGAAGCTGGCCTACGGCCCAGCCCCCATGCCCCCCGCCGCGGCTGTAGGTTCACTTGCAGCAGCCTGGGTGCACCTAAACAAAGATCTGCGGCCATTTGGAGAAGCTGCTCATCCCACAGAGAGGCCTGTCAGAGCTTGGATAAAGACGAGTCAAAAGTTTCCATAGGCCAGGGACCTTCAGACCAATCAATTAAAAGGGGTAAACGGGGGCACCGAGGAGCGGGGGCCTGAGAGAATTTGACAGCTCATCTAAATCTTGGCAGTCAGTCAAAACTAGCATCACAAAGGAAAAATAGATGCTCAAGTCGAGACCAAACATCTGAGAATCAACTGCATCCAAATCACCTTCAGTCATTGTGAGTGCAGACTCCCCAGCGCACCCCAGGTGGCTGACTCCAAGCATCCCGCGGGTGACGAAAAGGTGGGAATCTGCAGGTTGAACCAACTCCAGGGTGTTCTTAGACCCTCAAGATTGGCTGCTGAACAGAGGGAAGCTCATTTTTGGGCTTTGATGAAGTGAAAGGAGGGGCTGGGGTGTACAAGGTAAGTGATCTGGAATTCAGAAGGCTTGAACTCATGCCTGCCTCTGTCCTGTCCTGTTTTTGTCCTTTCTGCTCTGCCTCCAAGGGCTTTGGGTTCCTCGGCCAACAGGCGCATGCTCTGAGGACCGCCCCTCGCCCTGGGCTTCTGCTCCACTGCGGCTCTGAGCAGATGGTTTCTGGTCAACTATTTTTGCAAGTGTCATGTACTATTTATTATCAGAGCAATGCTTGCACGCATCATAATTCCTAGATTGGGCCCTAATTGTAAGTGTGTCCTGCTGAAGCTATCACACAACGACCACATACTCCCTCGATAGGCTCATCAACTTGCTCATGTGGAGAGATTACAACAAACAAAAAGATGAGCAGGGAGGAAAGTATAATCAAATTGTCGTGTCAGGGTGAAAAATGATGGCTGAGTTGTGACACTGTCTCGATTTCAAAAAACACCAAAGATACACGTATTTATTCAAGATCCTTTCTTCACAAAATGTTGGTTTGTGTTTTGATGATCACATTTCCCTGGTTACAAAAGAGCAAAGAACTAGACTTGCTATGAGAGTCTTGATAGAAGACAGTTTGCTTTTGAGGAATTAGATAATGGATGCCCAGAAGATTCTATTTAGAATGACAGTTGTGCGTCACATAACGTTTTGGTCAGTGATGGACCCCGTATATGATGATGGTTCTATAAGATTGTAATACCATATTTTTACTGTACCTTACCTATGTTTAGATACACAAATACCATTGTGCTACAATTGCCTGCAGTATTCCGTACAGTAATGTGCTGCAAAGATGTGTAGCTTAGGAGCAATAGGCTGTACCACACAGCCTAGGTGTGCATCAGCTTATACCATCTTGGCTTGGGCAAGTACACTCTATGATGCTCACACAGTAACAGAATCACTTAATGATACATCTCTCAGAATATATTCTTGTCATTAAGTGATGCGTGACTGTGCTCCAGACGTTGGCCTTCAGCATTTTCCCCATTTAGAGTCCTGACGTCTCCATTTGGATGTCTGTGAGTCGTTTACGTACTGGATGGCACACTGAAGTCACTACCTTTCTCCAGTGCTATGGCTCTCCATTTCCATAAATATGTCTTGCAAAGAATCACCTCTCATACTCCCTTCCATATAATCACAGAGTCTTCTAATTCTGCCTAAAATAGACTTAAAATGTGTCAGTTTCTTTCCAAATCTGCTGCCCAACTTTCCCACTCTAGTCCAAATTGCCACGGTCTGTCTTTTGGAGTTTAAAGGTACTTCCTACCTGGTTTCTCCCCATTCACTCTTCCTTTCCCCTGACCTACTGTCTATAGAGCAGACGGAGTAATTTATTTTATTTTTATTTTTTTTAAGACAGCATCTCACTCTGTTGCCCAGGCTGGAGTGAAGTGGCACGATCTTGGCTCACTGCAACCTCCACCCCCGGGTTCAGGTGGTTTTCTTGCCTCAGCCTCCCCCAATAGCTGGGATTACAGGTGTGGATCACCATACCTGGCTAACCGTTTTTTTTGTATTTTGTTTGGTAGAGACGGGCTTTCTCCATGTTGCCCAGGCTGGTCTTGAACTCTTAGCTCAAGTGATCCTTTCGCCTTGGCCTCCCAAAGTGCCAGAATTAAAGGTGTGAGCCACCACACCCAGCAGAGTAATCTTTTAAAAATAAAAACATGGTAATGTCACTGGCCTGCTTTAAATCTTTAAATGTCTCTCCTTTGTTCTTCGGGTCATGCTCTGATGCTGTGATTGCAACCTCCTCGCCCTCTGCAATCTGCGCTGCTCACTAAACCCACAGCCAGGCTGGTGTCCTCTTTGTTTCTCAACCTGGTCAGAGGCCCTCCTGCCTCCTGGACTTGCGGGTGCTCCTTGCTCTGATGATGTAGCGTCACTGCCCACTTGGACTGATCTCTCGTGCTCCTGTCCTCCAGCTTCTGTGTCACTTCCCAAGAAGAGACATTCCTCATCACCCAGGCCAGGCTGGTCTGCTACAATCACATAGCTCCCTGTATTTTCTCCCACAGCACTTTCATCACGGTGATAATCACTGTGTGACTATTTTTATAATATCCCATTAAGCCACAAGGTCCCTGAGGACAGAGACTATGCCTCTTGTCACACTGAAGGCCCAGTGTTGAGTGTAGTACTTACTATTTTGTAAACATGAAACAAATATTTATTGAATAAATGAATGCGCAAGTTAAGGAATCCCAGTTCAGCAACGAAATCAACAGTCAACCCAGTGACTCATAGAGTGAGAATAAAGAGTGGAAGAGCTGTCTGGACAGAAGCAGCATTTTCCTTTGCTGATTTCACACCATCTGTGGAAATAGAACTTTCAGAAATATGCCCCCTGCCGAGTCTTCCCAGAGTTGACGGTTGTGTCTTCTAGAATGAAAGGCTGGTGGACATAGAGGGGCAGGGTTCAGAACCAACACCAAGAAGAACCATCATCTGCTCAGAGCTGTCCAGCATTGGGATTTGCCGCAGCAGGGAGCCTCCTCTCTGGAACGCTGAAGCAGAGGCTGAATAACAGGTGTGACTCTTGCAGGGGAGGCCACATTGTTGAACAGCCCTTCCTACTCTTGCGATGCTGCCCTGCTGTGCAATCCAGCCCTTTTGGAATGATGGCCATTCCTCCCACTGTCATCTCCTTCCCCTGGAATCCATGCCCAGCCTCGCCTGCAGCTCTTGCTGCTGTCTCTCTTCTGGTTTTCTTTCTGTTAAAGATGAAGAGCAAACCATCAGAACTAGGAAACCACCTCCTAGGCTGGTCTGACACAACTGGACATTTGTCTTTCTAGTTTATCATTTGGATATCGAAAGATGAGGTTGTTAGAGAACAGTGCATATTTGAAATAAAGGTCATTTTGGACTTTTGAACGCAGAGGAAGCCAGCTGAGTGAGACAGAGAGAGAGATGTATGGATGGACAGACAGAAGGCAGGAAGAGGTAAAAATGAGAGGGAAGCTAGCTGAGTGAGAGAGAAAGAGACAGAGACAGAGAGAGATGTATAGATGGATGGACAGACAGGAGGCAGGAAGAAGTAAACATGAGGAAGTGAAGGACATAACATTTGGACCTTGAGAAGTAGTAAGAGGGGTATGTGTGTGTGTTAGAGAGAGAGAGAGAGACAGAGAGACAGAAAGAGAGAAGAAAGAGGAGGAGCAAGAGGAAGGGGAAAGGAGAGGGGAAAGTCCCAATTCCCAGCTTTCATGTTCCAGTTTTATTCTCTGTGTGGCTATAACTATAATTATATTACTGTTATATATATTATATATTATTATATAATATAAATATGACATATATAAATATGGTATATATAATATGAAATATATAATGCAAAACATAATTATAATATAAAATATAAATATATAATACAAAATATATTAATATTATATATAATACAATATATTATATATTGTATTATATATTATATACAATACAAAATATATTATATATTGTATTATATATAATATATAATAAAATATATTATCTATAATACATAATAAAATATATTATATATAATACAAAATATATTATATAATGTATTATATATTATATGTAATAAAATATATATAATACAATATATTATATATTGTATTATATAATATATAATACAATATATATTATTATTATATTATATTATTATTATATATTATAATATATTATTATATATTGTATTATATATAATATATAATACAATATAATACATTATAATACATTGTATTATAATACAATATATTATATATTGTATTATATATAATATATAATAAAATATATTATATAGTATTATATATAATATATAATACAATATATTATATAGTATTATATATAATATATAATACAATATATAATATATTGTATTATATAATATATAATACAATATATTATATATTGTATTATATATTATATAATACAAAATATATTGTAATATATATAATACAAAATATATTATATATAATAGAAAATATATTGTATATTATATATAATACAAAATATATATAATAGAAAATATATTGTATATTATGTATAATACAAAATATTATATATAATAGAAAATATGTATAAGTAATTTATACATATTATAAAAGATATATTATTAAAATAATATATATCATTTATATATAAATGGTATATATTTATAGATGAATTTTTTTTTTACTGCAAATTGTTGGAAATTATAGCTTGAGAGATTTTCTGCTGTTTTACATCAACATTTCCTAACGAAGATTGTGTACATTTTGGGCCCAGTTTTTCTGAGTCTTACGTAGATTTCTGCTGACGCCATAGCTGCAACCCAAACTGGAAGAAGATATCCTACCATGCTTAGCCATAAATTTAAATAACTGAACAGTTTATTCACCAGAGCACGACTATCCAGGGTCTGTTTCCTAAGACACAGCAAACACTCTGACGGCCATCCTGGGTTCTCTGCTAACTCACCTGTTCTCCTAAACAGCAAAGGGTCAAAGGACAGGTGGGGAAACCACGGAGCACCTTGCATTCCTCTGCCCCTGTTTTCCTCTCTGCAAGTCCCTTGTGTATTCAGTTTTGCAGTCAGTCTAGCTAAGGAGACTCTGAGTCAGCACTCTCTTCAGCCTTCAAGCACCGCATTGTTGGCCATCTCCTGATTCATGCCATCAAACCCAAGCTTTGCTTTTGACACCAAGATAAGCTTAGTGTAATATGATCATGTCATTGGTTAAAGAAACAGAGCTAAACACCTGTGCATTTTAGCAGAATGGATGTGGCTTCAAGTCTGAAAGTCGACTATCTTGCAGGGTGGTGTTGTCTGCCTCTGCAGTGATGAAAGCAGATGGAGGCAGTAGCTACTGACGGTTACAGAGTCATAGATGCGGAGAGCTGGAAAGGAACTTAGAATTAATCTACACTGTGTCCTTTATCATTTTAAGCATCAATTAAAATTTATGAAATCATACATAGAAACCTACTCATTGAAAAACACCAAACAGCTGTAGAATAAGAGGAACTTTCCATCTTTCATCACATGCCCCATAGTAATGGTGTCTGTGGATCATCATCTATATTTATATACAAGTCTTATATAAATGGGATCTTTCCATGTTTATTATTTTGAGACTTATTTTTTATTCCTTAAGAATAGATCTTGGAGGTCTTTCTATGTCAGTGTGTATTATTTTAACAATTGCATACGATTGCATGGTAGGACTGTCCTGCAGTTCAGGTGATAATCTCCCAGGAACAGACTTTTTGGGGTTTTCCCAGTTTCTTACTATTACAAACAGTGCTTCCATAAATAATGTTTACTTAAATTTTTGTGCACCTGTGCAGGTATTTTTTAAGGTTAGTTTCCTGAATTGGAACTGCAAAGATCATATGAATATAAAATTACATAAACACTGCCAAATTTTGTTTTTTGTCTTTTTTTTTTTTTTTTTTTTTGAGACGGAGTCTTGCTCTGTCGCCCAGGCTGGAGTGCAGTGGCACCATCTCGGCTCACTGCAAGCTCCGCCTCCCGGGTTCACGCCATTCTTCTGCCTCAGCCTCCCGAGTAGCTGGGACTAGAGGCCCCTGCCACCACGCCCGGCTAATTCTTTGTATTTTTAGTAGAGACGGGGTTTCACCATGTTAGCCAGGATAGTCTCAATCTCCTGATCTCGTGATCTGCCCACCTTGGCCTCCCAAAGTGCTGGGATTACAGGCATGAGCCACCATGCCTGGCCGACACTGCCAAATTTTGATCCCAAAAGGATATACCAATTTATCTTCTACCAACATCGAATGAGAGTGAATGTCTTTTCCTGCCAACATTAGATGTTTACAATGTTTTTAATTTTTGTTAATCAAGTAGATAAAAAAGAAATTATATTGCTTATATTGAATTTCCATTAGTATATTTTCAAGTGTTTATTGGCCATATGAATTTCTTTATCTGTTACTTGTTCATATCTTTTTCCCTTAAAAAGCATATGCAAAATCAATAATAAAATTGATTATTTTTTAACTTTTGGTCTTGTAAGAACTCCTTCTGTAGTTTGTGCATTAAGAATTTTTTCTGTATGTTATGAATATATGTTATATAACAGATATAATACATATTTCTTATATATTTCTAATATATAAGACTATATTTTTATAGTCTTGCTCATTTTTAAACTTTATAACATTTTTGTCGTAAATTGTTTTGATTTTCAGGTAAACACAATTGTCTACCACTTCCTTTAGAACATTTAGGTCTTACTTCTTGTTTAGAAAGAACTTCTGCATGCCAAAGTTATAAGATTATTTGCTTATTTTTATAAAACTTATATTATTTTGCCCATTTACATCTTAGGCCAATTTGGAATTTGTTTTTATATATATGTGAGCAGAGTATCTAACTTTATTCTTCTTTCACAGATGAGTAGCCAACTTTTCTGTCACAATGTGTTGAACTAATCGATGAAATAATTTCATAACTTTTCTGCTGATTGGAAATGCGAATTTTACCACATACTGAATTAATATGTTTCTTCTCTCTCTTTTGATGCATGGATTCATTGTCCTATTTGGCTAATCTGGACTATGAATATTCTGGGATTTTTCCTTGTTATTTCTTCTTTTATTATAGTTTTATGGAGATATAATTCACATGTCATACACTCCGTCCATCTAAAAGGTATAATTCAATGGTTTGTATTATATTCACAGATTTGTGCAACCATCAACATATTCAATTTTAGGACATTTCATCACCCCCGAAAGAAACCCTGTACCCAATAGCTATCATACTCATTCTCCATTTCTCCCCAGGCTCACAGGTTCTAGGCAATAACTATTCTCCTTTTTTTCTCTATGGATTTCCTATTCTGGATATATCATAAAAATGGAATCATACACTCTATGGTTCTTTATGAGCGGGTTCTTTCATTTAGCATATGTTCAAGGTTCAGGCCTGCTATAGATACTCCCTTTTTTCTTTTTGTAAACATCATTTATTTTTATTGTCATCTAATATTGCATTTTATGGATATACCATATTCTAACTTAGCCATACCTCAGTTGATGAACATTTGGGTAGTTTCCAGCTTTTGACTACTATGAATAATGCTGCTGTGAGCATTCATGTACTTGTGGACATGTATTTTTACTTCTCTTGGATATATATGCCTATGAGTGGAATTTCTGGGTTATATGGTAACTCTATGTTTAACCTCATTTTGAGGAACTGCCAGACTGGTTTTCACAGCAGCTGCACCATTTTACAATCCTACCAGTACTGTATGAGGGTTTTGATTTTGTCACATCCTGGCCAACATTTGTTATTGTCTTTTTTTATTATAGCCATCTTAGTGAGTGTAAAATGGCATTTCATAGTGGTTTTTATTTGCGCATGACTGATGGCTCTGAGTTATCTTTTTATATGCTGATTGAGTAAATGAGATGTATGCATCAGATGAAAGAGTTCAAACACTTGGGTTGTGGAGATGCATGACACAGAAGCGTGGGTTCCCTGATGACTTTCATACCTGCTTAACTGCAGCAGCATTTACTTGTCATGGAGGAATAAGGCAGGCCTATTTTTAGTCTTCACAACATACTTGTGGACCTTTCGCTTATACTCTTGTAACCTAAATATTTGAAAACACTGACTTAAATATTTTGACTCTCTCTCTTTTTTTTGAGACTGAGCCTTGTTCTGTTGCCAAGGCTGGAGTGCAGTGGTACAATCATAGCCCACTGCAGCCTCAAACTCCTGGGCTCAAGTGATCCTCCCACCTCAGCCTCTTGAGTAGCTAGCACTATAGGCACCCACGCCATGTCCAGCCTTGTTTTTTTTTTTTTTTTTTTTTTTTTTTTTTTTGTAGAGACAGGGGTCTCACTATGTTGCACAGGCTGATCTCAAACTCCTGGCCTCAAGAGATCCACCTACCTTGGTCTCCCAAAGTGCTAGGATTACAGGTATGAACCACTGCACCTGGCCTCAACTCATTTTTTTTGCCATTGCCTACATTTCAGTTAATAGATAAATACTAAAATCCCAGTTTTGTTGAAGTGACTTGCCCAACATATTGAATTTTCAAGAAGGATACCACCAATGTTAGAATCTTTCTCTCTTTTTAAAAAATAATATCTTAAGTTCCCAGATACTTTTATAAGATAGTTAAATTTCTCCAGTCTAACAAACCTCAGATAAGTGGTTTGATGGGTTTGAAGCTACTTCGTTTTTTGTTTTTTATTTTGAGACGGAGTCTCACACTGTTACACCCGCTGGTGTGTAGTGGCGCGATCTCAGCTTGCTGCAACATCTGCCTCCCAGGTTCAAGCAATTCTCCTGCCTCAGCCTCTCAAGTAGCTGGGATTATAGATGCCCGCCACCATGCCTGCTAATTTTTTGTATATTTAGAAGAAATGGGGTTTCACTATCGTGGCCAGTCTGTTCTCAAACTCCTGACCTCATGATCCGCCCGCCTTGGCCTCCCAAAGTGCTGGGATTACAGGTGTGAGCCACCATGCCCGGCCTGAAGCTACTTTTTAAGGATAAACATTGAAAATAACTTAATGAAGGAAGTGCCATTCTCTAAAGTTAAGTTTCAGGTATATGTATAAACTATTCATTTATGTTGTTAAATGTCCTTCACCCGTGGGCTTTGTTTCCCTTACTTTCTCTTAAAATATGATTTGCAACTATGAGTATAGCTATTAAGTGTTACTTCCCTTTCATCTTTTTCTTGTTCTCTTAAACAAACATTTTGTATGCAGGGCAAGGAACTTGGTGCTGAGTTCTGAGAGTGCCAAGTGTCGGAGGCTTGGTGGGCATTAAGGCAGATGTCTCCCTAGGACTTTAATGAGGGTTGTTTCTTTATCTGCTGGAGCAGATTCCCTGTGCTATGTGGTACTGAGGCACCTGATGAATGCAATGATGAATTTCTACCGCCTCAGATTGCTGAGTTTGGAAAATCTCTTTGACATAGTAAAAGTTGCTAAGCATCTCACCCAGCTGTGGCCATTTTTTGCTCCTGAACAATACAGTGGGACATTATTCATCCCTTAGAAAAAGGCTATTAAAACATCCCACAAGACAGTAAATTACATGGAGCAGGTGTCTCTAAGAGAAGACTAAATATCCCACAGCCAAATATGATGAGCTGGTACTAACCCCTGTTTCTAGGAAGCCTAATTTATTTCTTGTCTCTTAATTAAAATGAGGCTTTAGGCAAAAATGTTATTGTAGTGGCTGGGTCTAATGACAATATAAAATATATTACTCTTGCTTTATCTGCTGAGTTTGATTGGAATAATTTTAGTAATTATATATCAAATTCTTCTCACGGTCTTAGCTATTGGATAGTTTTTAAAAAGTATATTACCTCCAAGATTTAGAAACATAGAGACTAAGAAAGGCTAGGGGGAATTTTCTATAGTAGGATGGCTTGCTGAAGAGAGTAAACCAGGCTTAGGCATCTCTCCTGGTTCAGCCTGAAATATTCCTCTATATCTGCTTATCATATTTGTCTTCTGGACAGGATGGTCTTCACAGGGAGGCCTGTCTGCTTTTTGTGACCCTGGCAGACATTGCTAATCAATCACAGATTTCTCTCATTGTAAAATCCTTCTCCACATTAGGCCCCAGAGAGTCACTGTGAATTGGTCAAAGTTGTCATGCTTCCTGAAACTAATTTGCTTTTTTGGGTATATGTTTTATTGATGAAATGATTCTATGTCTAAAAAAAATTAAAACTGTTGATCTACTAAAATTCCTTAATTTTAGGCATAAAAATGGAAGCTCAGACTTGTCCCAGAACACAGCACAAGTTTATGGCAGAATCAAAATTAGAATCATTTGTCTTTTGTCTGCCAGAAGAATATAATATTCTTTCTTTCTCTTGTCTTTATTCTCAGCACATCTCTGCATCTGTCTACAAACATTTGTCTCTTTTGAATGATCCAGTCCACATACGGAATGGTATCACTTCTAAGTAAATGGTCTATTTGGCAGATAGCAGTAATTAGTGAACCTAATGATTGTGCTTCTCTTTGTAGTTCTACCAGTTTAGCTACCTTTGTTAGCACACACCTTGTACCCACCTGACAAGAGGAAGATGGGGAATGGGGAATTGGAAAGGAAGAGGGAGCAACCTCACTGAATATGGTATGCCAAGCAGTGAACATATGTCGCGTCATCACACTCTGACAATAACCCACAAAGGAGACCAATATCCCATTATAACAGAAGCAGAAAAGAAACAACCCTTATGTTACTTTACCAATAGGAACCTTCTCTAGATTTGACCCCAAATGATATTATTCCAAAGCCTATGCTTTTGAAAACTTAAGAAATGTACAGATTTATTTTGAGAAAAACAACCTTCCATAATTCTTGAGCATACTCCATGAATCTCCTAGATTCTGTGGAGCCAAGTTGGTAAAATACCACATTAGAAGTGAAGTGCTACCAGTTGGAGGAGCAAAATAGCAAAGTAGTTAAGAGCTACTTACTCTGAAGCAAGACTGCCTGGTTGGGTTCTGACTCCAGCATGTTCCAGCTTTGTAAAATGAAGCATGACACTTGATGTCTCTGTGCCTGCTTCCTCATCTATAAAATACATATGCTAATAGAATCTACCTTGTAGGGTTCCTGTGAAGATAAAATGAGTACATGCATTAAAAAATATGTAGACTGGTATCGCCTGGTGTAGAGTTAAACAAATCGGTATGTTGTGCTAGTATAGAAACTGTAAACCAAATGAAAACACAGAAACCAGGCTGTAGTTAGGAACTGATGATCTCAGAATATACATATATTTTTATAGTATTAGCAAAATGGTAATACAAATTTAAAAGAATGCATTTGTAAACATTCTGATCCCTGGGAATCTATCCATCCAGGCTAAATTGAGAAATATTGCACTCTAGTACTTCCTGCAAAGAACGGTTATCTGTTAAAATATTGAGTGAGCCTTGGCTCCTACTATTAATAGAGAGGCTTGTATAATTCACACCCTCTTGTTTATAAATGTGAGAAAATTCTAAAGAGACATGGTTAAGCCAAGGAGACTATTTTAGTTCACCACAATCAAACATGTATAACTTTAATTAGTGGATTGATTATGAATTATTGCCTATTTGCAGACATGAGCTCAAGCTCAGTATTGACATAAATTCAGAGCCTGAGGGAAAAATATGGATTTCAGGCCACAGATGCTTGTTTTGGAGTTAGAAGCAGAGCCCAGATTCCTTGTCTTTCATTGCAGTCCTGGATCCCAAATTCTTTTCTATGCAAACTTTCAAGTTCTTTGTCACCTAAGAGATATGGGTACTTTTAAGTTATACCAGCCATATAACTTAAATCCAATCAAAAGCAGAAAGCATTTTACCCCCCTTGGAACAATTGATGCTTATAGATCAAAGAAAAAGAAGTAACAGGCAGGCGAACAAGCACTAAATTATCCAGCAAACAGCGTCCTTTGCCTCCTTTCCGGTGATCAGCTCTCCTGGTTCAGACTTTTTGTACTGAAGTGCACTTGCATCCAGGAGGCAGCTGGAGAGCACTGGGAATTTTCTCAGGAACAAGTAGCTTGTTGATGAAGGAGAGCAAAGCTGGAGAAAATGCTAGGCAGACAATAGAGAGCCAGAATAAGTGAGATGGGAAGGAAAGCTTCCCATCATTTCCTTCTGATCAATCCAATCACCGAGCCGGAGGTCATGAAGTAGAAAGATCCCCAGGAAACCGAACAGTACAATTACCAAATGATAAGATGTGATTCAGAAAGCTAATATCTTCCCTAAAGGCTAAGGCCAAATGACTTGTTTGAAACAGCCAGGAAGGAAGGGTATTGCTCTTCGTGTCTTCCTTTTCAAGTCCATGGTTATTTGCCTTTTCTCGCTGCCTTATGAGGGCGCTTGTTAAAAATTCAGGAACAATGCCAGATACCAAGGTAGACAGATCTGGAGTATATGACAAATAAAGTAATCTAGCACTATTATTAACAGCAGGTATGTTGCTCCTAGGCTATTTTATGGCTCATTTTGAATGCATTATCTCCATCCGAAAAAGGTAAATGTGATTCTTATGTCTAGGGCAGTTCCAAGAGTCTACAATGAATGGGGTTCCTCTGACAAAGCAATCAACTTTTCCATGGTTGGCAGGTGAGTAAATTGGGTTTTACTAGGAGTTATTAAATATGGGTTTTGGTTGATTTACTACCTGCTGGGTTTCCATGGAAGTTGAGTATATAATACACCAGGCCAACAACATTAATCTTTTGTCCTTAATTCATTGCCGTTTTCAACGTGAAGACGGGCGCAGCAGTACGGACGTTACAGGAAAGCCATTGCTAGCTCTGCTCCTTTAACATGTGTAAAAACATCTGTGGGTGACAGGCAGCACCCCAGCTCCTGGGGTCGTGACAGAGGCTCTCAGGACTCCTTCCTATTGAGATGCACAGTGGTCTAGGTGTTCCCCAGGCAGGAACCTGTGGAATCTTTGGCTTTTCCTTGACCTAGCCCAGCTTGACCCCTCTCTGGACTTTTGCATTCCTGTCCCTCAGCAAGTCGCTGCTGAACTGATGGAGCTCCCGTTGTCTTGATAAGAGGGCACCATTCCTGCGTGGAGGGAGGTTTACATGGCTGCTCCTTCTCCTGATAAGGACACCGAGCCTCCCTTTCTTTCTGTGGCTCTGCTGCCCTAAATCTCTCCTTCCCTTTGCAAAGTGACCAGTGCCAAGAAGGAGGATAAACCTACAGCAGGTGACCCACCCACTCCTAAGGATCACAGTGGGATTCCCAGTCTGCCTCTTAGCTCTTAAGTCTGCTGCAGTTTCCACAGGAAGCCCTAGCTTCTCTGGCCATCCCTTCTCAGGACCACTGTCCCATTGTGGCTAGGTCGATTCTCCAATCTGATTCAAGCTCCCAGGCTTCTGACATCCAAAGCCTGTGCTCTGGAAATCATGGTCACCACCAGCACCTCCTCCCCCAACATCAGCTCCTGCTGGATGGTCCCTTCATTCTCCCACTGTGAAGCAGACCTGGCCCTTCCTGGGGACCCTGTTTCTGCTACATGTTTCAAGTTGGCTGTTCTCCACAGCCTTTCTACTATGCCTGGCTATCGTTGTGTGTGTGTGTGTGTGTGTGTGTGTGTGTGTGTGTGTGTGCGCGTTTGAGGGCGGGGGATCTTTGCTATTTATTAGCATTGGTTCTCTCTCCTCCATAAAACACCCCAGCTCCCCTACTCCCAGTTGTAATCATTTATAGACTCTTTGCCTCATTCATCAAAGGTTTGAGCACTGACTCACTGTCATCATTCCTGGCAATTTCAAAGCCACATACACACTTAATCTAACATCCTCATCCTTGCCAGTGACCTTGTCCTTCATCCCACCCCAGCCACCCCCTCCACTGCCCTTAACCACAGCAACTCCAAAATACTCATTTCAAACACTCTGCTTTCTGACTGCTACCTCGTATCTATCCAGGTCACTCCCTCTCATGGCCTGAATCTAACAATTCTTTGCCCATTAGGACCACCAATCAGTACCCCTACCACCTTGAATCCCCATCATTTTCTCACTTTCCTTTTTTCTCAGCCTACAGTCCATCCCTTTAGTCACTCCTGTACATACAGCCTCAACAATCGTGTCTTTCTATCATAGAATCCTTGAAAAAAAAAAACAGTTAAATTCAGGTGTACTGAGTCTGCATCTGAGTGGTTGACTAGGCCAGAGTGAAAGAATAACTGGATAAACTGGGATCAACTCAAGTTTATGGCCAGACATCAAGATGGGTCCCTCAGGACTGTTGAGCAACCCAGCCCCCAGTCAATTCATTTTCTCACTCCCTGGGACCTTCTGTTCTCTCCTTCAACCTCTAACACCTTGTTCCCACCTTTATTCTCAGCCAATGATCTTGCTTCCTATTTTACTGAGAATGTAGACACAACTGGAAGAAAATGTCACTCTACAGCCACATCCACCAATTTACCTGTCTCTGATGGTGTACCCTGCCTGGTGGACAGCTGTGCCTGCCCCTCATGAAGCCAGACCCTGAGCTTGTGCACTGGTTCCTGTCCCCTCTGGCCTGTTCTTTGCTTATGCAATCAACTCTTTTCTCTCCTGCATCAAAGCTCTCCCACCTGCTGTCTCATTCCCATCAGCAGACAATCACTATCCTTTCTCCCATCTTTAAAAAGAGCTCCTTTCCAGCAACTGCCCCCACTGAATCACTCTGGAGAAATTCTCTATATTCACTGTTCTCTCATTCTCTTTGGAACCCACTTGTATGAGGTTGTTGTCCCCACCAGTGCTCTGAAGTTATGACCAACGTTACCAACAATCTTCACACATGCAAATCCCATAGTTGAGTCTCGAGTCTTTTTCTTTTCTGATTTTTTTTTACTTGGTTTCTGGAACATTCCACCTTCTTGGTTTTCTTCTACTTTACCTACTTCCTCACAGCATCATTTTTCTGGATTCCTCTCCCTTTCCTGACCTCGGAATGTTGGAGTGTCCCCAAGTTCTGTCCTTGGGGCTCTTCTCGTCTCCACTTACATAAAACTTTCATCAGAACCATAAATTCCGAATGTGTGACCCCACCTCTTCATGAACTTCTGACGAACACTTAAGCTGTGTCTAGTAGGCATCTTTACACACTCAATAGAAATTATTTGATTCCCCAACCCCCTGGCTTCAGCAACTATTCTTCCTCCCCTGTTCTTCATCTCAGGAAACTGCCATAGCGTCTTCCCAGTTAAACAACAACAATAAAAGTCCCTGATTAAGGTGACTGTGTATCCCAGTTTACAATGTCAGTCTTTAACCATCCCCTTTAACTGCCAAAAATCTTGGTTTGCATAATAAATTATAGAGCCATGCTTCCCTGGTTCTTTTTTGCTTCTATCAATATTCCCTGTTGAGTCCTCACTCTAAATATATTCCGAATTTACCCACGCCTCACCACCTCCACTGCAGCCACCCCGGTTGGGCCACAATCATCTTAAGTCTTGACTGCTGCTGTGAATGACTAACTGGTTTGTCTCATTTAATTTTGCTCTTAGTGGTTTATTTCCTACACAGAAGCCAAAGTGATCTTTCTAAGAGTCTGCTCATGGCATTCTCCCTGTTCAAATCTTCCAGTGCCTTCCCACTGCCATGAGAATGAAAACAGATATGGCCCAGCCACCTTTGACTTCATTTATCACTCTCTTGTTCGCCACTTCCAGCCCCACATGCTGTAACTATAATAGGTTCGTTGCCCAGTGCACATAGCGGGTCAATACACTGAGACACTGGGTTGCAGCAGAGGAAGAGATTTAATGGTAGGACCACCAAACGAGGAGACAAGAAGAAACCTCAAATTTGTCTCCTCCAGGAATTTGGGCTTAGGGTTTTTACAAGTTTTCGAGTGGACCAAAGTATGGAGATTGTTGATTGGTCAAAAAGTGCAGGGTGAAGTCATGGGAAAAGCAGATGAAGAAACTGTATTCTCGTGCTGATTCAGTTCCCCTGTGAAAGTCTTTAAACGGGTAGTTGCCAGGTGTTCTGCTGAAATTCAGGATCTGCTTAAGCAATTCTTAAACAAAAACCTTCTAATTCTAATGCCAGGAATTTTATCCATAGGAAAAATGGGGATTTGAATGGTCAATATCTAATGCTTTATGACTTTTAGTTACAAGAAAATGGTTAAAGTGCAGCCTGATTAATGCTTCATTTTAACTCTATTTCTGTCCAGAATTCTTGTTAACGCTGTGAAGACGGCTTCAATGCCTCTTAGCTGTTCCCAACCCACATTGTCTCACCTAGGGTTTTCTGCTTTTGCTGTTCCTTCTGCCTAGAAGGCTTTCCCCCAACAATCAGCATGGCCTGGATGCTCACCTTGTTCTGGTCTCTGCTTACATTTTGTTTTGCAGAGATTGTTGCCAGGTCCTTCTCCACTGCCTTACCTGGCTTTGCTTTTACTCTGATAATTTGCTGTTACCCGTCATTGTATCGTGTTTGTGTCTCTTCCACTGGCAAACATGCCCCATGCCAACTTTGTCTCTTTTGTCTGACACTAGTTTATTAGACCCTGGAACAGTAACAAGCATAGGGTAGGGCTACTAGAATAAATATTTTCCAGTAAATATCTATCTATTCAAAAAAATGAATGACTGGTTGAAGGGATGAAGCAGATCTCTTTTATTTGATTGGTTTCAATAATCTCTGTGCCAAGCAGTTTACTCTCATATTTAGTCCTTTTAAAAACAGTGTGGCTACTGCTATCCTCCGGATTTTACAGACAAAGGAATGCAAGTGCAGAGAAGACAAGGACCTTGCCCAAGGTCACCTGACTGGTAAATGGCTGAGATGTTTTTGATTCCAGACAAGCTAAGTCCAGAGGCCAAGTTCATCACCATAATGCTATACAGCCGTCCTAATGTTATCAGGTCACAAATTTAAGACACTATGGATTTTCACAAGGGAGAGAGTCTGGTGGTTTCTTGTAAATGGTGACTTTGTTTAGTTTCTGTCTTCTCCATGGAAGGTACACCTCCTGAGAGTACAGTCTTTGCTGGATGTGTTTGTTGACTAGGACTAAGCCCTGGCTTGCCTCAGCTCCTACTTCCCTAACCATCGCAATGCCACTCAACACCTGCAGATATAGCCTCTCCCTGACCCTGGCCCAATGAGAGCCCCACGCAGGGCACTGCAGAACACGAGCCATGGCCTTTTCTTCTGTTCATCCTTCTTGGCAGTGCCTTTGAACACTGAGCAGCCAGCTTGGCCTCCCTGCTCCAGACCACTGTGAGTAGCTCGTTAGCTTATCTGGTCCTTCTGCCTGGGCCACTGGCTTAAGTGTCTGTCTTCTAGTCATGTGCTCAGTGTCTGGTCCAATCTCACAACCGTTCTGAGAATAGAATACCCACATCTGCACACCAATCCATCAGCCAAATGATCTAACTTCCTCACCCAAATCTAGTGGTGCCCTTGCTTCCTTTTCTCCCTGGGCTGACACTTGCTCCACTGTCTCTAATTCTGAGGTCTGTGCTAACTGAAAGCTTTCCAAAATTCTGTCCTCCTGGAAAGCATTCTGGACCATAGACCTCATCCTGGATTGGGCCTGAGTTATTGTGATCGTTATAACAACATTCTTGTTGTTGTTATTATTATAGCAGCCAATTTTGTGAAGCACTTTCCATACAGTATTTCCAATAATTTTCACAGTTACTCTGTGAGATGGGTACTGTTATCATTCCCATTTTATTGAGGAGAAATCTGGAATTTAGGGACATAAGTAAGGTTAAACCCCAGGTCACCCACTTGGCATGCGGCAGAGGTGCGATTCGAACCCAGGTAGCCTGGTTTCCAAAGACACTTCCCTACTCCCAAACACCCGTTGCAGGGTGCTGGACTGAGGATTCCCCTACTAAGACAGGATGATTTGCCCCAGCCACCTGAGGGGTTCTCGGGAAGTCTGGTCCAATGCTAGCTCAGCTTTGGTTTGTGCTTGCATTCACCTGTTTCAGGTAGGAGTAAGGGAGCTTCCAACCTGGATCCCAGGCCACTTACACAGCCTGTGTCCCCTGCGCCTGGATGGACTGCCTAGCCCTGGACCACTATTGCCTCATCTTTGATTCCCACATAGTGCTCAATGCATAGAAGGTGCTGGAGAAATCCGGCTAAATGAATCACCATTGGCTTGTTAAGAGCATGCCATTGGAGGGAAAATTATTTATTATAAAACAAACCTGAAAAGGGAAAGGAAAGACTGAGTGCTGGAAGTGAGAAACAAGATTGGAGATCAGGGAGATCGAGTTGGAAGAATATCCATAGGAAGGAGAAGAAAAGCATCAAGAAGCTCCATAAATCACAGCAGCAGTATTTTTACCTACATTGTCCTTCTTTATTTTACGTCCCTGGCACCAAACAATTTATCATTCCCATTTCATGCTAAGTGCTACAAAAATAGCAATTGGCCCAACATTTGAATGGGAGATAGCAGTTTCAAAATAATAGCAAAACGTGAAACTCTCTGAATTCTGGAATTTTCTGTAGTGTCCTCTCCACCCCCACCACCAATTGCAGGTGTCTTTGCCCTGCATGGACACAAAAAGGCCAAGGGTAACAGACCTGGGAGGGAGGGGGAACCTTTTCCTGATATTTAGTGGCGAAGCTGAATGTGGGTTAATCTCACTCTTACATTCCTCTATTTCTGCCCTGCACAAGGCATTCTAGCCAGAAAACCCAAGATCACCTTCCGCTTCTATTGTAGGGTGTAGGGGGTGTTGAGAGGGTAGGTGGCAGGTGTTTGGTATTGGTGGGCAGCCCAGAGCTGAGCTGTAACACTTCCAAAGCTAGCAAGGGGGGCGGGAGAGGAGGGGGAAAGGAAGAGGAGAGGGTTTGATGCTTTCACAAAGCCTTAAAGGCAAAAATACTTAGACAAGAAAGCTTTTTAAAGCAATGACTATATAGCTCTCCCCCATTCCAGGTCTTTTCAGAACTCATTGAGTGATTAGAGTTTTAACTCATTATTTAGAAATAAATACTTGGAAACCACTCTCCAGAGTAGATACTTTAAAATCCACCTCCCCACCCTCAGACTCTTATTTATATTTGAAAGGAAGGATTACTTTTTCCTTTGAAAAGTAAACTTTTCTGTCAGCAAATAATTACAGCCAGCACATTTCCAGTGGATGAGATTTGGGAAGCCCCTCATTCCTTCCCGTTTGCTTGTGGCCATCCAGCAAGGACTGAACCAAAGAGTCCCAGCCCCGTTCAATCAGTCATACTTATCATCAATTTCCCAGCATTTAATGTGTCCCAGAGATTATGCAAAGAGATTTATATGTAGAATCCCACTTAAAGCTCTTGCTTTTAAGGATGAAGAAATTGAGGCTAAGACACATGGCTGGAATCCAAACTGAAGATGGTCAGATGCTAAAGTGCATCTCATGAATCATCAACATCAATGGAAGACCACACCACTAGGATGGAAGAGAAGTGGGACATCCAACACAGCGGAGGAGCCCACTCCATTCAGTGGTTTGGAGCATTTCCAGGCTGCTCCTCTCAGCAGTGGGGCCAAAGACAAACCTCTGACGGTCGTTCAGCTTGCTCTTTCTCTGGCCAGCTCAGTGGCTGCAAAAGTAGACAGAAGGCAGAGCGAAAGCACTGAGCCGTCCATCCACTGGGACAATGCTGGGCTCCCCTTTAACAGGAAGGGCTGCCATGGTCCTCTTGGAGTCTGCCCCTCCCAGGCCCAGCAAACTCATTTGCTGTTACACAGGGGCCATGCTGAAGTTTACATTTGCACTGACTCCCCAGCCTCATGCTCTACAAGTGGGGAGAAAAATGATACCTCAGGCAGGAGATTTCGCTTATCTCTTTTCTCCCTAAGTCTTCTGCTCAAAATAGCAGGTCTGTGATGTTCTAGAAGGTGATTGCCATCATGCCTGCTGCAAGCGCATGGGCAGTGTTGATAAGGGTATCTTGCCTCTGACCTCAATCTTATTCACCAGTTCCTATCTCACCAGGGAAACTGATTGCTGTCTGAGCCTTTTATCAGGCAGCAGGTAGGAAGGACATCTGTGAAAGAAAGAGGAGGTGTCAAAGGATGGTGTCCCCAGGGAGCCAACATGACTAGAGGCGAATGCCACATGTTTTAAATCCGGAGGCCCAGGCTCACATCCCTCTGTTTTCCCGCAAAGCTCTAGCCATGCCTTCCAGTCCTAGGCCTACTGTCCGCCACCTCCTTGCTGCCGCTCTGGGCCTGCCTTCCTGAGCCCTTGGATGCTCCCAGTTTATTTGCAAGGATGTTCTTTCCTTCTTCCAGGGCTTCAGGATGTGCTTTGCTCTGTCCTTCAGGCATAACTACGGTAGACTGTCTTGGAGAGTGGCTATCCTCCCTGATCCATATTTCTAAGAACTATGCATCAGCCACTTCCCTTGCTGCCATATTATTAAGTGCACAGACACTGCCCTTACTCCTCCACAGCCGGTTGGGCAAGGATGATCTCCTGACACACTCCAGAGGGCCTCTCTGGGGCCATTCTCCAACTGTGCTCTCTAAACAGGGAAGGAATCTGCAAGGCCAAGAGAACTGCCTGGAGGACCCTGAGCCAGCTCCCACCAGCACCACCCTGAAGAATTCCCTGCTCAAATGTCCCTGAGTCCACTTTTATGGCTTGCGTGGACCTCATGCTCAGGAATGTCTTACTGGCCAGGCTCTGCTGCCTGCGTGCTCACCTCCAGGTGTGAGAGGAGCTAAGGGTGGCTGCTTTGGGGGCGTAGACACAGCCTGGCCATGAGGGCAGGGGGGTTCACGTGGGGGCATGGGAGCACACTCGTGAGGCAGAAAGAGCCAAGTGTGGGAAGAGAACTGGGGCTGGTGACCAGGGGATGGGAAGGATGAAATTCTAAATTTGAACCTGATCTTCCAAGTCATTTTAAAATTAGGACTTAACTCACATACCATAAAATTTACCCTTTTGAAGTGTTCAATTCAATACTTTTTAGTATATTCACAAGATTGCACAATTATAATGACTATCTAATTCCATAATACTTCATCACCATCCCCCTAAAAAAATAACCCATACCAATTAGTACTCACCCTCCTGGCAATCTTTCCATCTTTATAGAGTTGCTCATTCTGGACATTTCATACAAATGGAGTTATACAATACGTCATATTTTGGGTCTGGTTTCTTTCACTCAGCATAATGTTTTTAAGATTCATTCATGTTGTAACATGTATCAATACTTCAATAGTGGCTGAATAATATTCCACTGTACCACATTTTCGTTATCCACTCATTCATTGATGGACATTTGGGTTATTCACACTTTTTGGTAATTACGAACAATGCTACTATGAATGTTCACTAGTTTTTAGGTGAACACATGTCTTCAGTTGTCTTGGTACATACCTAGGAGTGGAATGGCTGGGTCGTGGTAATTCTAAGTTTAACTTTTGAGGAACTGCTAGACTCTTTTCCACTGTGACTGTGCCATACTTTTCATTCCTACCAGCAGTGCGTTAGGCGTCCGGTTTCTCTACATCCTGGCCAACACTGGTTATTGTCTGTCATTTTGATTGAAACTATCCTACTGGATATGCAATGGTATCTCACTGTGGTTTTGTTTGCATTTCCTTAATGACCAATGACGCTGAGCACTTTTTCATGTGCTTTTCGGTAATTTGAATATTTTCTTTGTAGAAGTATCTATTCCAATCCTTTGCCCATTTAAAAAACTGGGTTATGTTTTAATTGTTGAGTTGTGGGTGTTCTGTATATATTCTGGATACTAGATTCTTCCCTAGTATATGATTTGCAAATATTTTCTCCCATTCTGTGAGGTGTCTTTTCACTTTTTTGATGGTGTCCTTTGAAACACAAAAGTTTTTAATTCTGACAGTGTCCAATTTACCTATTTTTTTTCTTTTGTTGTTTGTGCTTTTGGTATCACATCTGAGAAACCATTGCCTGATCTAAGGTCATGCCTATGTTTTCCTCTAAGGCCAGGCCATCTTGAAAGAAAAATTGTCAAATAGGGAAAAAACTTATTTAATATTTCAGTTTGTTAACTGAATTAAAAAATTATAAACATTTTTACATATGGTGTATGGCCCTCCATTACATGGTCTCAGGCCTTGTAAAATTCACAGTGGATCTTGACGTTGAGTAGCAGAAATGACATGACCTCCTGAAGTGATGGATGTGTTAATGTTGCTCTCTGTCTGCCTGTTTCTCATACGTCCTGTCTTTGCATTTATTTTGTAGGAAATTTCTCACCCATATGTGACTGAGCCCTGGCAGATAGTGTCTTCTCCTAACCATCATCATGTCTTCTAAGTTTTATAATACTATTTAAATTTTAAGACCAAATGTATTGAATCCCACTTACTATTTATATTTTAACACAGATGGCCCTAATTTTGACATGAGCTCAACGACTCCTTTTTAGATCAATACATAATCCTTAAGGCATCCACTCAGGAGAAAATACAAAGAAGTCATAATTATGGTGTTGTCTTGGATGCCTGCTACCTGGAGAACTTTGGAACTTCAGAGTAAGGTCCAGAGTAGTGAGTAGGCCAAGTTGCAGAGAGGTAAACTGAGTCACAGGGCAGAAAACTGACTGTGTTGGAAGGACGTAGGTAGCAAGAGTTAGACCTGTAATAGAGTCAGAGTTAGAGCTGCCAGCCTAGTGCCAGCTCCTTCTGAGCTAAGAGAGAGCCTTTCCCATGCTACAGGGCCTTTCCCGGTGCCACAGCGGCTTCACGTCTTGTTCCTGTGCCTCGAACCCTGCCCCATGCTCCTACTGTCTCCTGTCTTAGCCAAGCCCCAGCTGCTGCTTCCTCTAAGGAGTTGCTACCTGCTTCTCGCCGGGCTTCACATACTTATCTCTCTCTCTCTCCGTGTCTCTTTTTAAAAATCAATAATCACGTAAAGTCAGGGAAACTCCAGACAATCTTCTATGGACTGCTTTTTGCCCAGATGAGAGTGGTTGGGTGACGACAGGTGCCTGAAATTCTCAATTCCCGTTTCAGTCCACTTCCTACTGAACAGGTGTCAAGGTCACAGCACCTTGCTGCCCCTTGGTACTAACCCCATTTCCTGTTGTCTGAAAAGGCAGGAATTAGATGGGCATAATGACAGAGCTGCTCATTGTAAAACATTGACCAATGCTGGAGGCAGCCTAATTCTATCAAATTCCTCATAAGCTGAATTGTCAGAATTGAGGAGTTAAAGCCCAGTTTCTGTTCTTCCTTAACGGGGGTCTTCACAATATACATTGTTTGTGCACAGTATTTAGATATAAATGAGGACTGGATAAGCATAACCATGGATTTTAATTCAGCTGATTTTGGCCTTTGGAAGTAACTACTCAGTTTTAACATCTAGAGTGACTATCAGATGAAGATGAAGAAGGAATCAGCGTTCTAAGAATTGTCCCCCAACTCCAGTCAATTATTCAATTGTAAAGGATTTATTGCTAGGGAATGCCAAGCATAATCCAGAGGAAACACAGGCAAAATTTACACAGCCTGGTCAGTATGACCAGTGCTGGCCTTGGGGGACTCCCAACCCAGAAGCCAATTTATAAGCTGGGTGCTCAGAGGAACCTCTCCCTGCTAGCTGAAGAGTTAAAAGTCGGGAGACATGCAAGACCCCCAGTGTACTGTGGAAGAAGTGGCTTCAGTGACCTGAAGCCTTAATTGAAGTCAGAAGATGTCTCTCCTCAACCCAGCCCGCCCTGCAGCAGGTGGTCCTATCACTGCCTTTCTCCACTCGCACAACAGACCCTTTATTTCATGGTAGACAAAGGTCTGGGAATGGGAGCAGCAGTACCAGATTATAAACCATACATTTTCCAGTGCTAAGTAGCTCAGACTTGGGACTCTCAGGAGTCTGGCTGTAGAGTGCTATAGTCTATGAACAAGTTAATTTTTTTCCCATTTAAGCACAGAAAAAAAACATCTTTTCTGATTGTTGTTTAGTTCAATGTGACAGTTCAAACTTTGACCTTCCAAGTATAGATTTCTTTCTACTTCTTTCCTAGGGGTATTACCATTAAACTAGTACTAAGGCACAGCTCGGGGAGCACAAAGCCACTGTTTAAAGGCAGGAGTCCAGAAGTGCAGGGAATGGACATCTTTCATAGGACCACAACATAGAGATTGACACTGGGCACATAAGACTGTACATTGAACATGTTTGTCTAGTAGCCATTGCCAAGACGTCCCAGCTGAAGTGCCCTTTATTATTATTTATTTATTGTAGAGACGGGGTCTTGCTATATTGCCCAAGCTGGTCTTGAACTCCTGACCTCCAGCAATCCTCCCATCACAGCCTCCCAATGCACTGAGATTATAAGCGTGAGCCACCACACCTGGTCAGCAAGTGTCCTTTACAATTTACAAAGCCCTGGGTGGGGCCAGGCATGGTGCCTTACACCTGTAATCCCAGTACTTTGGGAGGCTGAGGTGGGTGGATCACCTGAGGTCAGGAGTTCAAGACCAGGCTGGCCAACATGGTGAAACCCTGTGTCTACCAAAAATACAAAAATTAGCCGGGCATGGTGGGATTAGGTAGGCGCCTGTAATCCCAACTACTTGGGAGACTGAAGCACAAGAATCACTTGAACCCGGGAGGCAAAGGTTGCAGTGAGCCGAGATTGCACCACTGTATTCCAGCCTGGACCACAGAGTGAGACTGTCTCAAAACAACAACAACAACAACAAAACCTGGGTGGGATATGTATTATCTGTCCACCCACCATCTTCTGGGATATCGTCCCCCTTCAACTGCACCATGTGTTTCCTATAGGAGCAGCCATACTTTACAGGTCCTGTCCCCTTAGCCACAGGTGGTTGGGCAAGAATTGGTCACATAAACACAGATGGACTAGTAGGATGTCTTCCCTAAGGTTTTTGGGAGCAGAGCCAGTTCTCTCTGTTGGTAGAACGGGATATGAAAGTTGGGAGTTGTCACAGGCTTTGGACTCTGACACGTGGAAGAAGTCAGTCTCCAGAAAAAGGCTAAAACCTCCAAGCAGAGAGGTAAGAAAAGAGAAACTTCTTTGCAGCATGCAATTTGCCGGTTCTGGGACCTGTTGAAAATAACTAAATTATATTTTGTATTATTCCCCCATGTGAAGGGGCACACCGTCTTCCTTCGAATAGTTTTTATGAGATCCTCTAGCATCCTTATACAAGATCCCCCATTGCGCCTAAACGTGGGAGCCCTGTTTTTTTTGAAACCAAAATAGCTTTGATTGTATTACACACATTATCTCGCATGAATCTCCTAACAATCCTGTGAGGCAGACATTATTACCCCAATTTTGGAAATAATAAGAATGAGGCCCAGAGAGGTTAAGTAGTCTCTTCCAAAGTCATGTAGCTTTTGAAGGCAAAATCAGAACCCCACCCCAGTCTTGACTGACAGGCCCTAGGTGGAAAGAAATTCTTCTGCTTCCAGCTGTGTCATGAGAAGACCCACAGACTACAGTCTGCACTGCTCTGCTCTGTCCTTGGTTCTCTAAGCTGTGACAGCCAAGCAGGCTTGGACTGGAATGCCTTTGAGAGCGGAGCAATTATAACAAGGAAGGTGTATTCCCTTAGCATGCTTCCCTATCAGCCTCATTTGCAGAATGTTCTCTCCAGCCCCTGACACTACTGCTTAGACTTTAATTCATCAGCTCAGCTGCAGATGGTGTCATCCTCTGGGACTTTGCTGGTTATTAACTATCACCAGCATTCTCACCCCAGAGCAGGCTCCAGCTGACTTGGATTTTGGGTGAATTATACACTATCCATCCACTACCTCTTTCCCAGGCAAGATCCTTTTCAAGACCCCAACTATGCAGGCTCTTCCCTGTGTCCAGATACCCTGACCGGGTGTTTCCAACTCAGCCAGAAGTTCTCAGTTTTGTATTCTACTCTGAAGATGCTGCAGGAGTTTTTCAAAGGATGACCAAAGCTCCAGCTGCATGGGCACAGCTGGCTGGCCCCTTCCACCTGTCTCCTGCCTCTCCTCACCCCACAGGGAGCCACAGTCACCTAAGCAGCCATAGAACAACACAGCATTGCTCTCACCATGGCCCCGCAGTAATTAAAAAGAAACACTCAGGTTAGGTGGCAAAGCCTAACCCCGCAGGCAACAAGGCCATTAAAAAGCCCGCAGCCTATCCTTGGTTCAGTTTCCTCTTTCCCCTTTCTTTCTACCTGGGAATCCAGCTTGAGACCTAAAGGCAAGGGCTGGCCAGCTTCATTATTCATGGCCCTTCCTCGCCAGCAAATTAGGACTGATGTGGCTGAGGTTGGGACATGGAAATCAGGATTTCATATGGATCCTTTTCCTCTTTTACTAAACTCTACGTGGGGTGAACAGGGATTAAAAACATTCAAGCAAAGATGGTAATTTCATTTTTTAAAAGAGGAATTCCTATGTAGTTACATCTTCTCAGCTCTCCTTTTTCCACAGGGCACCTGCTCCTCCCTGACCTTCCACATATCAATCTTGGTGAAGGGTGACACCTGAGCAGCCAGCCTCGGTTTTACAAGTGTGTGCTCCGGGGCTCTAGAGATCCAAAGCAAGTTAGCCAGAAAGGCAACTGGAGAAACCATGTCCCTCAGTCAACGGCTTTTGTCCATTCATAGATGTGTCTATGTCTATGTCTCTCTGCCTTCAAATATAAAATGTCCCAGTGAAGAGCCCTGTGTTAAATGACTCAGACCTAAGACTCCCACTGGGTCTATTACATCCAATCCAACAGTGAGATAATTGTCCTTGTTTTGAATACGGCATCAGATTTTTCCACAGAGTCGTGTAGTTGAATGTGTCTGGACAAATGATAATTGTCCATCAAAGAGCAATATTCTTATTCTCTAGCTCTACTCGAAGGGGACAAAATGGAATGGCCAGCTGGTGCCAAAATACAGCTTACAATTACCAAGCCATGCTGCCTCGCAACAGGAAGTCCAGAAGACGGGACATCATATTTGATGATGACATTAGGAGTAAGGACATCATTCACAACTTAAAGGATCTACAGGCTATCCAAGAACCAAAGGCTTAGGTTCTTAAGCCAAGTAAATAAAGAATACTTGCATCTGAACACCCTCAAAGATCCCACTAAGCTCTCTAGTCTTCAGAGATCTGATACACCCTCAAAACTTCCAGTTTTAAACATTCCTAGAAGAATGATTAGACCCAAAATTTCTAAATTACGTGACATTGTTTGGCTCTGTGTCCCCACCCAAATCTCATGTTGAATTGTAATTTCCAGTGTTGGAGGTGGGGCCTGGTGGGAGGTGATTGGATTACGTGGGTGGTTTCTAATGGTTTATCACCATCCCCCTAGTGCTCTCTCATGATAGAGTTCTCATGAGATCTGGTTGTTTGAAAGCGTGTAGCACCTCCTGCCACTGTCTCCTGTCGGCCATGTGAGGATGTGCTTGCTTTTCCTTTACATTCCATCATGACTGTAAGTTTCCTGAGGCCTCCCAAGAAGGAGATGCCTGTACAGCCCACAGAACCATGAGCTGATTAAACCTCTTTTCTTTATAAATTACTCAGTCTCAGGTATGTCTTCATAGCAGTCTTAGAATGGACTAATACAGTATGGATGTCCTTTTATTGACCTAGATGATGCACAATCAAACTTCAGCTGTGGGCACTATGACTCATGCCTGCAATCCCAGCTACTGAGCAGGCCGATGTAGGAGGATTGCTTGAGCCTAAAATTTATAAAAAATAAAACAAAAGACAAACAAAAAGCCCTCAGTTGCATAGAAATATGAAACAGGGAGGTTAGGCAGGTGGTTTGTTATAAGAAGTCAACCAAGAATCAGAAGGAGCAATAATAATACTAGTTAAATTGATTGAGTACTTACTTTATGCAGTGCCTTGCATTTTACTGAGTATTTTTATTTTTATTTTTTATTTTATTTTACTTTAAGTTCTAGGGTACATGTGCACAACATGCAGGATTGTTACATATGTATACATGTGCCACGTTGGTGTGCTGCACCCATTAACTCATCATTTACACTAGGTATATCTCCTAATGCTATCCCTCTCCCCTCCCCCCACCCCACCACAGGCCCCGGTGTGTGATGTTCCCCTTCCTGTGTCCAAGTGTTCTCATTGTTCAGTTCCCATCTATGAGTAAGAGCATGTGGTGTTTGGTTTTTTGTCCTTGCAATAGCTTGCTCAGAATGATGGTTTCCAGCTTCATCCATGTCCCTACAAAGGACATGAACTTATCCTTTTTTATGGCTGCATAGTATTCCATGGTGTATATGTACCACATTTTCTTAATCCCGTCTATCATTGATGGACATTTGGGTTGGTTCCAAGTCTTTGCTATTGTGAATAGTGCCACAATAAACATACGTGTGCATGTGTCTTTATAGTAGCATGATTTATAATCCTTTGGGTATATACCCAGTAATGGGATGGCTGGGTCAAATGGTATTTCTAGTTCCAGATCCTTGAGGAATCACCACACTCTCTTCCACAATGGTTGAACTAGTTTACAATCCCACCAACAGTGTAAAAGTGTTCCTATTTCTCCACATCCTCTCCAGCACCTGTTGTTTCCTGACTTTTTAATTATCACCATTCTAACTGGTGTGAGACGGTATCTCATTGTGGTTTTGATTTGCATTTCTCTGATGGCCAGTGATGATAAGCATTTTTTCATGTGTCTGTTGGCTGCATAAATGTCTTCTTTTGAGAAGTGTCTGTTCATATCCTTTGCCCACTTTTTGATGGGTTGTTTGTTTTTTTCTTGTAAATTTGTTTGAGTTCTTTGTAGATTCTGGATATTAGCCCTTTGTCAGATGAGTAGATTGCAAATATTTTTTCCCTTTCTGTAGGTTACCTGTTCACTCTGATGATAGTTTCTTTTGCTGTGTAGAAGCTCTTTAGTTTAATTAGATCCCATTCTCAATTTTGGCTTTTGTTGCCATTGCTTTTGGTGTTTTAGACGTGAAGTCCTTGCCCATGCCTATGTCCTGAATGCTATTGCCTAGATTTTCTTCTAGAGTTTGTATGGTTTTAGGTCTAATATTTAAGTCTTTAATCCATCTTGAATTAATTTTTGTATAAGGTGTAAGGAAGGGATCCAGTTTCAGCTTTCTACATATGGCTAGCCAGTTTTCCCAGCGCCATTTATTAAATAGGGAATCCTTTCCCCATTTCTTGTTTTTGTCAGGTTTGTCAAAGATCAGATGGTTGAAGATGTGTGGTATTATTTCTGAGGGCTCTGTTCTGTTCCATTGGTCTATATCTCTGTTTTGGTACCAGTACCATGTTGTTTTGGTTACTATAACCTTGTATTATGGTTTGAAGTCAGGTAGCGTGATGCCTCCAGCTTTGTTCTTTTGGCTTAGGATTGTCTTGGCAATGCAGGCTCTTTTTTGGTTCCATATAAACTTGAAAGTAGTTTTCTCCAGTTCTGTGAAGAAAGTCATCGGTAGCTTGATGGGGATGGCATTGAATCTATAAATTACCTTGGGCAGTATGGCCATTTTCATGATATTGATTCTTCCTATCCATGAGCATGGAATGTTCTTCTATTTGTTTGTGTCCTCTTTTATTTCGTTGAGCAGTGGTTTGTAGTTCTCCTTGACTACATGATTATCTCAATAGATGCAGAAAAGGCCTTTGACAAAATTCAACAGCCCTTCATGCTGAAAACTCTCAATAAATTAGGTATTGATAGGATGTATCTCAAAATAATAAGAGCTATTTATGACAAACCCACAGCCAATATCATACTGAATGGGCAAAAACTGGAAGCATTCCCTTTGAAAACTGGCACAAGACAGGGATGCCCTCTCTCACCACTCCTATTCAACATAGTGTTGGAAGTCTGGCCAGGGCAATCAGGCAGGAGAAGGAAATAAAGAGTACTCAGTTAAGAAAAGTGGAAGTCAAATTGTCCCTGTTTGCAGATGACATGATTGTATATCTAGAAAACCCCATCATCTCAGCCCAAAATCTCCTTAAGCTGATAAGCAACTTCAGCAAAGTCTCAGGATACAAAATCAGTGTGCAAAAATCACAAGCATTCTTATACACCAACAACAGACAAACAGAGAGCCAAATCATGAGTGAACTCCCATTCACAATTGCTTCAAAGAGAATGAAATACCTAGGAATTCAATTTACTGAGTATTTTACATGTAGAATTAATGTAACACACTCTGTAACTCTATGTGGTTACGTAGCATTATCATCCCCATATTTCAGATGAGACACTGATGAGGAATCTGAAATGGGATTTGTTCTGTAGAGGAGGAAATTCTCAAGGTTGAGTTTCAGTTAAGTATTGAAATCAATGATGGTAAGTATTAAATTATATGCAATGTCAACTGATTCTTGAGTCAAGACTAGATACTCTGGGAGTTTCAAAGATGAAGCAGACAGAAACTTTGCCTTCAAGAATGTAATTGCCTTCAATTACAACTGGCCCCGCCTGTAATCCCAGCACTTTGGGAAGCCGAGGTGGGCAGATCATGAGGTCAGGAGATAGAGACCATCCTGGCTAACACGGTGAAACCCCGTCTCTACTAAAAATACAAAAAATTAGCCAGGCATAGTGGCGGGCTCCTGTAGTCCCAGCTACTCAGGAGGCTGAGGCAGGAGAATGGCCTGAACCCAGGAGGCGGAGCTTGCAGTGAGCCAAGATCGCGCCACTGTACTCCAGCCTGGGTGACAGAGCGAGACTCCGTCTCAAAAAAAAAAAAAAAAAAAAGAATGTACAACTCTGGTATTCACTTTGCCTACAGACCATTTGTATAGACAAGACCTGTAGATGATTTCTATTAACTCAAAAAGAATTCAGATAGATATTTGTCCAGGGCTTTCTCAGTGTCCCTTCTCAGTTGTATATGTTCAAATGGACAAAAAATAAGTCAAAGCCTGCAGGGCTGCCCATAATGAAGTGCAAGAATGAGCAACGCAGAGCATAGGTGTTCATGGAGTCGATAGCAGCATGTCTGTAGACCAGAGAAGCCAAGGAATGTATGCAAGTGGAGGCTAGCCTTTCCTTGGGCCCTGAAAAACGGGCAGAAGGTGAAGAGCAGATATGCCAGGAAAAGGGGAAAGAAATATCATAAAAAGATGCAAGGAGGTGGGAATGAAACTGACCAACTGTATGGAGGGACTGAGGGTGTAGCTGGAGGTAGGGCTAGTCAGGCAGGCTGGGACTGAAGAGGGATTAACCATGCCATTTCCCAGAATGCTGACTTCTAAATTCCTCTAGAAATAAATTTGAAGGAGTAAGGCAGCTGGTCATAGTGAGGAGTTGATCAGGCAGGCCCTGTCTCATAACAGTGTCCTGTTGGCACATTCGCTTCCAGGGCTGGGGCTGTGATACATGCAAGATGAGACCAATACCAGTTCCCTTCATCTTTGCAAGAAAAAGCTGATCCCTTCAAGAGATGGCTTGGAAATCTCTTGGTTCTTGGAAAGAGACTTAGTTGGATGATATAATTTAAGGTGAGAAGATAGTCTGGAAAAACAAAGCAACAAACCAATCCTAATAACCAATGCCCACACAGTTGTTTCAAAACAATTACACAAAACTGGAAGTCAGCTGGACACGGTGGCTCACACCTGTAAATCCAAGCACTTTGGGAGGCTGAAGCAGGAGGATTGCTTGAACCCAGAAGTTTGAGACCAGGCTAGGCAACAAAGCAAGACATGTCTCTACACAAAATTAAAAATAAAAACAAAAAACCCAAACTGCAAGTCTCCTAGTTATTTTGAATTTTGATGATCACTTCACCTGCTCACAACAGCTGCCTCACTGATGGCTTGGTATCCAATATATCCTTCCTGCTTTGTATCTGCTATATACTTCCCGGCATTGAGCAGGCTTTGATCTCTAACTCAAGCATGCCCTGACCTCTAACAGAGATAGGCACATGCATGAGAGTAGCCTCCATCACACAGGCCATTTCTCTGACTCGTCACTGTGTTGCTTAACACTGCCAAGTGCTAAAGGAAGCCACTGAGTGCTCAGGACACTTCCCAGGCAAAAGCTACATTCTCTTATCCTATGTCACACACACTCAAGGAGGGGCAGGCTTCCTTGAGAACTCTGTGTGTCCCGGACAATCAGGTGGGCAGGGGCAGGGATTGGATGAGGAAAGGGATGGAAAGCCAAGCGCAATAGTTATGTCCCATTCCACTGGAGAAAGAAGGGTGTCTCATGGCTTCAGGGGAAGGCCTGGAGCAGAGGTGGTCAAAGCATGCTGCTTTTACAAATGACCCAAATGGTATCCATATCCCACTGATTCTCCTCAAATTCTGGAACTCATGAGGCACAGTTAGCGGGGAATGGTTGATGGGTCTGGAGACAACTTCTTAATGTAATCTAGATGAAGATACTCTGAAGAATGGATATACAGCAGCTGGGTACACAGGAAACACCAGTCACTTTTGGTTTTGAGAAGAATTTCATGTGAATATTATCAATAAATAAGTATATTTGATTTAGGGGGAGTTTGTAGAGCTTCACAGACATTGTCTCATAGAATGATTCACAACCTGCATCAAAGAAATTTGCACCAAGCTGGTATTTTGACTCATAGTTAGAAATGCTGAGCTTAAATAATTCAAGGAGAAATTTGTGAAAAATTGAAGGGAAAATCTCACACTTTCTGTCTGTCTGCATAGTTCAATTGTCTAGATTAGTATTTTTTAAGTTTTAAATCCCATAAACTTACTCTCTTTTATATATAAATACATGCATATATATGCATAAACACAGATATTTGCCTACACCTAGATTTCATGGGTTTTCCTGGGGCCTGTGCCTTTTGTTAGAAGTGTCTCTTTCAGGCTGTCTGTCATTTCATGATACAGAATGGTGTGGAAGAACTGATGGTATATAGAACAACCTGTTTCAAATATCTCCTTAAAGATTATGTGCAAGTGCAGTTTTTAAAAAATCAAATCATATTTTCAATTGACTTCTAGATTTATCTACTTTGAGCTGGCTTTCCTAAAGATATATACTACATCTTAATGACCATTTGATAAGTTCTAATTTCTATATGCTGGAATAATCTAAGAGTGAGGTCATATCTGTACACTGAGCTAAAATAGTCTGATGGCTCGCTCTGCCCCAAGTCTCATGGCTCTCCTTACTTACTCTGGTGGTCTAATGACTCTTCCTGCACCTAGCCTGATAGCTCTCTTTACCCCTGTCCCTAGCCCCCTAGTCTGATGGTTCTCCTTGCCCCTAGTCTGATGGCTCTATGCCTCTTCCCCAAATGCTTAACAGCTTCACATTTTCCTCTCTCTTGAACACCACTCGGAGCTGGGGAGGAGAACAAACAAGCTAGGGCACCAGAAGGCTGATGCTCAGACTGAGCTATTCCTTCTGGATGAGTGGGTTCTCAAGGGAACAGCTGTTAACTGGCTATAGACCCAAGTCTATGGGGCCAGCATGACCAATGTCCCCCTTCTACCTCACACAAAAAGCAGGACATGAATAGAGGGCCGGTCTTGCCAGGTGAGGCTTCACCTGTACTCTCAGCTGTGCCAATTCCAGCTCCTTCAGCTGTGCAGGACACGAGGACTCTGGGGGCCATGGTGTGGCTTGGCTCAAAAACATGAGACACACACATGGACTCTGTGAACCAAGGCTTCTTTCTGTGTGATACTGGCTGTAAAGGTCTGTTCCCTTCAAAAGGAGAAACACTGGGGATACATTCTACTTTATGTTACAAAATCAGTAACATGGGCAGTCATCATAGGGTGCATATAACATGACAGGGTTTCTCCATAACTGTTCCTGCATGTTTCCTTTCCCTATTGAAATGTATTTATCTCTTGCCTTTTTCTTCCAATAGGATTTGAGACGGCATTCCTGGACTTAGTATCTTAAAAGACATCATGATAAAATAGAAATCTTACTTCCCCAGCCTGACACCTCGTGCAGATGACCAATGCCCTCTCCTCTGGAGAATCTCAGATGCAGCATCTTAGACACAGTGTGTGCTTTCAGTGGCTTATGATAAAGACCTGGATGTGCTGGGGTATAAAGCCTCTTGTCTGGAAACTTTTCTGAGAGTAGTTAAAACCTACCTGCTAACCTCACCCCTGCAACAAGTTGCTGAGCTCCTTTGGGCAGGATACTGCCCTTGGTGTGGGGACACCATGATGACTGGGCAATGTCAGAATGTCAGATTGAATTCTCTGCCAGTGGTTGGAGGGAAAGACAGGGATGGTTCTGCAGCACAGCTTGGTCTGTGTCATGTGATGTCAGGGCCATATAAAGAGGCAGTGTGTGGCGCAGGTGAGGAATGCTCATTCCAGACTCACTATGCCTGTGTTGGCGCTCATCTCGCCACCAGTGACCAGCTGCGGGCTCCATGGCACCATCCAACGTCCTTGCACTTTACTCCCCACATCGGTAAAACTGGGGCAGAGGGGCAGTGGGGAGCAGTTAATAACAATACATACTGCACGATGTTGCTGTGATGATTCAATGAAATAAATCACGTAAACCGATTCATGAGCGTTTAATAAGCCATCTACCAGTATTTCTAACTGACGTGCTAGGTTGTAAGGTCTCTTTGTAAGAAACAATGTATGGTACAAAGATAGGGTGCTGGGACTGTATTCCCTATGTACATAACTCCATAATTAGTTCTTTTCTAATCTATAATTCTTGTTGTGCACCCTGAATTTCACATTTGGGGAATGTCAAAATACTCCCAACAATTTATCCCAGTTTCTGAGCTCAGGGTGGGTGGTGTTTTAGTTTGTTTTCTGATGCTTATAAAAGAATAGTTTAAACTGGGTAATTTATACAGGGAAGAAACTCATTTGCTACAATTATGGAGGGTGAGAGGTCCAGGGTCAAGGGTCAAGGGGTTGCATCTGGTGAGAACCTTCTTGCTAGTGGGGATCCTGTGGCATTCTGAGGTGGCACGGGCATCACATGTGAGGGAGCTGAGCATGTTGGTTTGGGTCTTTCTTCCTTTTCTTATAAAGCCACTGGTCCCACTCCCATGATAACTCAGTAATCCATTAACCCATTAATCTATTCATGTGGAAACAGGGCTCATGACCCAATCACCTTGTAAAGACCTCACCTCTCAATAGTCATTGAGGATTAAATTTCAACATGGGTTTTGGAGGGGACAAATGTTCAAATCATAGCAGGTGGAAAGTGAGGTGGCTCCATCTGCCTCTTGGACCTTGCTTCCTCTTGCTCTTTCTATAACATACCAGATGAACACCTTATGGTGCCAACCATCACCACCACACAACAGCAACAAAAATCCCTCATGCAAAAATCCATGAGATTAGTAGACTTCAGCAAGGCTTGGGGGCTGGGTCCACATTGCAGTGCTCAGCTCGCTGGCATCTTACTGGCTCACACTTTATCTCTCTCTCACCTCTGTTCCTCTCCCCACCCTCTCATGCTGTTCCTAGCTCTCCAACTTCTACTTGCTATATTATGCAGAATAGTCTTTCTTGGAAGAATTCTCCTGATTTTCTGTCTCCCCAGCTGAATCTGAAGCCCCCGAAGGACACAGGAGTGGATTTTATAATCATGCTGGATAGTGAAGGAGTGAAGGACATGTCATACAAAAATATGCCGGATTGATGATTTAGAGCTGAAAACATTGGAGAAATTTCGTTTCAGAAAGGGTCAGCTGACTTGTCTTTTCCTGCGTTCAGTAAGCATAAAGATTTCTCCTGGTCGGGTGGTGGGAGCGGGGGCCATTGCCATATTAGCATGTGAAAATAGCCCTTAGCACCAGAGACTGGGAAGTGGGGGCTGCAAAGGACCTGAATGAACAAATATTACACAGTAACCCTTATCTCCCATCTGTTTTACACTCCTCCACCTGCCCCTGTATCTCTCCTAATGACTCTCCTAGAAAATTTACTGCCCTAGCCCGATTTTCTTTGTCCTGTCACTTCTTGAAATTGTCATTATTTGTCTAAAGAGTCCAAAAGCATCTGGCTTTGGCCACTTCTTCAGACTTCACTCTCCTCTGAAGATCTCCATGCACATGGAAAACTCATGCAATTTGTATGTTTTTCTCTTGTTAATCTGCCTGGTGTCAATTTGGTTTCTAGATCCAGCCAAAGAGCCCTCATAAGAGCTTAAGGAGGTTGGAGGGGATCTCTGCCTCCCCTGCAATAGCACCTAGTGCCCCAACAAGTTGGCTGTGCTCTCAGTATGCACCCTTGTTGAACAAAGGGTTCCCCTCTTTAAAGTCCTGCACACAAAAATAACTCTGGCCACCATGAGTACCCTTTTGGGAGTTTATAATCAAATACAGCACTTCTAATTAGTTCTAGTGTGGTCTAATTGATCCCACTGACCCAAATGTCTTGTTAAATATTATTGCCAAATAAAAAAGCACAAATTGCCACCGCCTACTCATCTAGGGACATCATAATGTTAGCTCAGTCCCTCCACTGGCTCAGAGGACTTGGAGAAGCTATGTGCTCTTATCACACTTGAGATGCAATAGAAGCGAAGTGCAGGCTTTTCTCTGGTCTCTAAGCAGGCTGCTTGCCTTCTCTGTGGTTCTGGTTTCAGTCCCTCTGCCTTGTGGGTAGAGTTGTCAATCACTGACCACCCCCAGGCCTGCTGGGGAGAAGGGGCCTCCCACAGCATCTGCTGAACAGTTGGCCGAGGCAGCCATGTCTCAGGACCCCTCCCTTCTTCCAATGCTGGCTTGGCCGGGGCTTTGCCCCTGACTGGGTGCCAATACTGTGGCACAGTGACATGCAGAGGCAGCCTCTTGGAAATGTGAGTAAGACACACCCAGCAAAGGAGGAGAGGGAGCTTGTCAGCTGTGGGAGCAAAAGCTGAGAATTTTGAAATGGACAGAGAACAGGAAAGCCCAGGGAGAATGGTACACCAGGCAGTCATGGGGCCTGCAACCATCCAGGAGCAGAAAGAGCCTGTCTGGTGACAGAGCCGCAGGAGAGCTTATTCATGAAAGCCCAGTGCCCCCAGAGAGGAGGAAACCAGAAAAGGAATGATTTGGGGCCTAGCCCCCTTTTGACCTTCTGGTAAACCCCTTTGTCAATAGGTAAGCGGAAATGATTTCTCTGAGAAGTCTCCACAAGAAAGGAGACAGCGCCTCTTCCTGCTCTACCACATCTGATGTCCTCACCCCAACAACGTTCAACAGGGGAGCTTCATAACCCCACCTGACAAGGAGGGGCTGGCCCTCAGGGAGGTTAGGTGTCTCGCCCATAGCTACAGTGGCGATGCCAGCACCCCGGTTTTACTGAACCACACTGCCTCTGTGACATCACCAAACTTCCTCCATTTCAGCCTCCCAACTTTAGGCCATCCCTCTCTCCACGCAAAGAGACAGACCAGGAAGGACTGACAAGACTACCAGCAATGTCCTCAGGCCAGGGCGGCCACACGAGAAAAGACTTGCCCTCCTTCTATCCTTTGGGCTTAGGTGGGCAGAGCAGGGCAGGGTTCCTGCTGCCCTTTTGCCAGGCAAGTCAAGCACGTTACAGGTGAAGCGCTCCTCCCCACTGAGCTTGGCTCAAAGTCAAACGGAAACACTCATCCTTCTTTACAGCTCATGCTCAAAGGCCCCGAGGCCCAAAAACACGTGGCTCATCCTTCCCAAGGTGGGTGGATTTCAGAGAAGCCAGCACCAAGCCCGGGGCAAATGTGTGTGTGTGGCTCTGGCGGGGAGGATTGGGATGGAGAAGGTGGAGTCAGAGCTTCAGGCCAGAGGGCAGGGCGGCTCAGCCACTGTGGGACAGGCAGGCGAAGACCGGAGGAGGAAGGGGAGGGCAGGGGAAGGGGGAGACATGAGGGAGAAAAAGAGAAGAAGGAGGGAAGGAGAGAAGAAGAAGGAGAGCCAGAAGATGAGGGAGGGGAAGGGAGGAAGATGGTAGAGAAGGGTAAGGGGAGGACAGAAGAAGGAGGGGGAGGGGAAAGGGATGGGAGAGCATGATGGGGAGAAAGAGGAGAAGGGAAGAGGGAGAGAAGAAAAGGGGGAGGGGAGGGGCAAAAGGGAGGAGGAAGGAGGAGGAAGGAGAAGAGACACTGAGGAAAGGTAGGAAAAGGGAGGAAGATGTGAGCCAAGTCACAATGGACATTGGGCAGTGGCATACCTTGGGGAGAACACATTTGGAACTGCCTGGCCTCTGTCATGATGTCATTACTCCTCATCTTGTCACTTTTAATTCTCTTAGGAGGAAACACACACTCTGTTAGGAACGCACACCAACTCTCCAAGGGAAAGTGACGGATGGGCCAGGGAGACCTCAGTTTAAGGGCTCAGTGGGAAACAGACCATTCTTGTCTCCAATCCCTCCATGGTCTTTCTGCTTTGGCTGGGTAAGGCAGGATCTTTGCTAGGCGTGTCTGTCAGTGATTAGGTCTTGAAAAGCTTATAGTCTTTTCTTTCACCTTGACCTACAAAGCATGAATCGAGATAAATCTAACATTTCCTCCCTTTTCACCACTCTCCCATTTTTTCCATCTTAACAAACCGGAGGAGGATTGTGGTTCTTTTCCAGAACAGCTTAATGCCACACCAACCCTGCACATTTAAATGTGTAACGCTTCCTCTATCATTTGCATCTTAATGTTCCAAACCAACAATCATGAAGCCTTGTGTGAAAAAATAAAGAAGGATTTAGAGAAATTTGGGCTAATTCTAAACCTTGATGAATTATACCTAACTATAGAAGCTTCGTGATGAGACTTTAAAAAAAAAAAAAACACTGAAATCAATTTACCGCTGAAAAAGGTGCCAGATGGGAATTAAACCAAATACTGGCATTTTCTTTAGCCACAGTTTAGAAATTACAGACAAAAAAGAAAAGAAAAGAAAAGTCGGCCTCATCTATTTCCCTGTGTCTCATCTCCATAGCTGGATGCTTCATGCTCCTTTTGTGAACATCACTCAAGTCAATTCCTTCATCCACTCACTGAGCACCTGCTGTGCGTGAGGCAGGTTCAGGGTCCCCTGGAGAGCTGGGGACATGTGTACCACATCCAGTCCTTGGTGCTGACTCTGCAGTCAAGGGCACTGCCTGCCACCGTAAAGTTGTCCCAGGTGCTGGCACCACGCTCGGTCAGCACTGCCTTGTCTAACTGGCACCTCCGCACTCCCTGGGAACTGCAGCTGCTCTGCAGGGGCTGAAGTTTGCTGGACTCCCCTGTCTCTGTCAGGCCCCTTTGGCTCCCACACTTGAGCCCCTGCATACAGACAGCAACACGAAGAGGAGAAAGATGTGCTCCCTAGGATCACTGTGGACTGCCATGCACTGTGGGCACTGGAGGACTCTGGGGAGTTCACGGCGAAAGCAGGGAGAATGCCACGCTCCCCTTTGTGCCACTCTCAGCAAGGTTAGTCCTGAAGGTGCTACTTGTGCCTTAGTAGAGTTTTCTGTGGGGGTGGGGAGGCATAGAGAGGACAGCACTTTCCAGCACTTTTTGTTATTAACTCTCCAGCTCTCAGACCCTGGGCCAGGGATGAAATCCAAGTAGCCATTCCTTGTTCTCAGAATTCTTTTTTTTTTTTTTTTTTTAATTGATCATTCTTGGGTGTTTCTCGCAGAGGGGGATTTGGCAGGGTCACAGGACAATAGTGGAGGGAAGGTCAGCAGATAAACAAGTGAACAAAGGACCTCTGGTTTTCCTAGGCAGAGGACCCTGCGGCCTTCCACAGTGTTTATGTCCCTGGGTACTTGAGATTAGGGAGTGGCGATGACTCTTAACGAGCATGCTGCCTTCAAGTATCTGTTTAACAAAGCACATCTTGCACCGCCCTTAATCCATTCAACCCTGAGTGGATACAGCACATGTTTCAGAGAGCACAGGGTTGGGGGTAAGGTCACAGATCAACAGGATCCCAAGGCAGAAGAATTTTTCTTAGTACAGAACAAAATGAAAAGTCTCCCATGTCTACCTCTTTCTACACAGACACGGCAACCATCCGATTTCTCAATCTTTTCCCCACCTTTCCCCCCTTTCTATTCCACAAAACCGCCATTGTCATCATAGCCCGTTCTCAATGAGCTGTTGGGTACACCTCCCGGACGGGGCGGCTGGCCGGGCAGAGGGGCTCCTCACTTCCCAGTAGGGGCGGCCGGGCAGAGGCGCCCCTCACCTCCTGAACGGGGCGGCTGACCCCCCGACCTCCCTCCTGGACGGGGCGGCTGGCCGGGCAGAGGGGCTCCTCACTTCCCAGTAGGGGCGGCCGGGCAGAGGTGCCTCTCACCTCCCGGACGGGGGGCTGATCCCCCCACCTCCCTCCCGGACGGGGCGGCTGGCCGGGCGGGGGGCTGACCCCCCCACCTCCCTCCCGGACGGGGCGGCTGGCCGGGCGGGGGGCTGACCCCCCCACCTCCCTCCCGGACGGGGCGGCTGGCCGGGCAGAGGGGCTCCTCACTTCCCAGTAGGGGCGGCCGGGCAGAGGTGCCTCTCACCTCCCGGACGGGGCGGCTGGCCGGGCGGGGGGCTGATCCCCCCACCTCCCTCCCGGACGGGGCGGCTGGCCGGGTGGGGGGCTGACCCCCCCGCCTCCCTCCCAGACGAGGTGGCTGCCGGGCAGAGACGCTCCTCACTTCCCAGACGGGGTGGCTGCTGGGTGGAGGGGCTCCTCACTTCTCAGACCAGGCGGCTGCCAGGCAGAGACGCTCCTCACATCCCGGACGGGGCAGCAGGGCAGAGGCGCTCCCCACATCTCAGACGATGGGCGGCCAGGCAGAGACGCTCCTCACTTCCTAGATGGGATGGCGGCCGGGAAGAGGCTCTCCTCACTTCCTAGATGGGATGGTGGCCGGGCAGAGACGCTCCTCACTTCCTAGATGGGATGGCGGCCGGGCAGAGACGCTCCTCACTTTCCAGACTGGGCAGCCAGGCAGAGGCGCTCCTCACATCCCAGACAGGGTGGCGGGGCAGAGGTGCTCCCCACATCTCAGACGATGGGCGGCCGGGCAGAGACGCTCCTCACTTCCTAGATGGGATGGCGGCCGGGAAGAGGCGCTCCTCGCTTCCTAGATGGGATGGCGGCCAGGCAGAGACGCTCGTCACTTCCCTGACTGGGCAGCCAGGCAGAGGGGCTCCTCACATTCCAGACGATGGGCGGCCAGGCAGAGACGCTCCTCACTTCCCAGACGGGGTGGCGGCCGGGCAGAGGCTGCAATCTCGGCACTTTGGGAGGCCAAGGCAGGCGGCTGGGAGGTGGAGGTTGTAGCGAGCCGAGATCACGCCACTGCACTCCAGCCTGGGCGCCATTGAGCACTGAGTGAACGAGACTCCGTCTGCAATCCCGGCACCTCGGGAGGCCGAGGCTGGCGGATCACTCGCAGTTAGGAGCTGGAGACCGGCCAGGCCAACACAGCGAAACCCCGTCTCCACCAAAAAAATACGAAAACAATTCTTCTTCCCTCCTTGAAGTAAAGGTTCCTTACGGAGTCAAGCTCATTGAGTCTGAGTCTCCCCTTAAAATAAGCTTTATTTTCTGAAGGTCCTCAGTCCCAGATAGATAGACAACTGACAACTCTGTCCCACTGCACAATTCAGCAATTTCAAGGTTTGCCTAGTGAGGAGAACATATTTGAGTCCCCAACCCCCAGCCCTGAATGTTGATATGGTCTGTGGGTCCTACATCGGACCTACATAGGGGGTGTGGCTCCTCAGTGGAGAGTCACAAGTGATCCATCAGCACATTAAGATCACTGCGGGCCGGGCGCGGTGTCGCACACCTGTAATCACAGCACTTTGGGAGGCCGAGGTGGGCGGATCATGAGGTCAGGAGATCAAGACCATCCTGGCTAACATGGTGAAACCCCATCTCTACTAAAAATACAAAAAATTAGCCGGGCATGGTGGCGGGCACCTGTAGTCTCAGCTACTCAGGAGGTTGAGGCAGGAGAATCACTTGAACCTGGGAGGCGGAGGTTGCAGTGAGCCAAGATGGTGCCACTGTATTCCGTCTCAAAAAAAAAAAAAAAAAAAATCACTGCGGATCCATCCGGATCAACCTCTCCTCCAAACACGGGAAACAGGTCTCTGTCCTTCAACCTTGTATTTGATGACTGATTTTTTTTTTTTTTTTTGAACTGCTTTGAAACCAGATCCTGGACATATCTATGTCCATGGCCACCTGGCAGTACGCTTGTTTCAATTTTCACATGAATGAATGGAAGCACAGACATGTTAAATAATGCAGGCAAGCTCCACGACAGGCAAACTGGTGGCAGACACCCAGGCGGGACAAATCCCCGTTACTTGCTATTGTCTGTCCTCCAAGCTAAGTTGCTAGATTGAGCAAAAAGAAAAACAATACAGCACACCCAGTTAAACTGGAATTTCAGGTAAATAACGGTTAGTTTTGGTATAAGTGTGTCCCAAATATTGCATAGGATATACTTAAGGTGACACTAAAAATTGTTGTTTTTCTGAAATTCCGGTTTAACAGGGCATCCTGTGTCACCCGTGGCGACCCTATCGCCCAAGGGCAAGTCTCATCCTGCCCTCTCTTAATAAAATGAGTTTTACTTTTGCACATGACGAATCCAGTGTAATTTAGAGAAGTAATACTGACCTTTATAACTGGAGAAAGATAATCCACATAGTTTTTATACTGACATGCTACATCTTCTCTTTGACTCTTTTTTACTTCTGAATGTATGTTTTGGTCTCTTTCCTGCCCTTCCCCCACCCAAATCTCTCCTAGGCTTAGCAAGAGATTAACTTGATTCTTCCCCACCCAGATGTATTATTGCTAAATTGTCCTCCCCGTTTCTCTGTATTCCATGAGATGAAACATTAACTTTCGCAAGAACTAATCTTCATTGTCAGAAAGAAGCAAAATCGACATATCCAGCTCTTTAAGTCAGAGTGTTATTCAGCGCATGAAGCTGTGGCTTGGGAACAGTGGATTATTCTTCTGGCCAAGCACCCCTAGACCCAGATGTGCCAATGAGAGCCTGCTATGGACTGGAACACAGAGACTAGCAATGCAGGCTAAAGTGATGGGATTAGGGAGACACCACACCCGGCATAAGCTATTAATAACTAGGCATACGCCCTGGAATGAAAAAGCACCCATACAAAGCTGAGCTAAGCGTAGCTCACTCCTTCAGCACGTCTCTCAGTGGCCAAATGGGAGCTGGATGCTTATCTAGAAACAGGAGTGTCCCAGCAAGTTACAGTCCAAATGTCTTTTCACATGTACCTGCTTCCACTCCCTAAGTGGCACATCCCACCGATGCACAGAAGCCAGAAGGTTGTCTCTGCAGTTTCTTGTCATTGAAGTAGTCGAAGTAGTAGGGCCACCAGAAAACTGGACAATCAAGTTACACAACGTATCTTTCTCACCTGGGATTCCCTGGGAGAATTAAGCCCCGATGCCCTCAGGTATCTAGTGTATTAATGTCTCTCCTAGGTCTCTAGAGTAGCACTAGCCATGGAGTATTCTAGGAATACTGAAAAAACATAACCACTCAAATAATTTTCTGTAGGAGCTTAATTCTCTGCCAGAACCCCTGGCAGGTGGAGAAAGGCTGAGAGAGGCTGCTAGGACCTCTGCCATGGTTACTGAGGTCTTGCCTGTTTCTACCCAGCACCTATGATGGCCCTGAGCTCCCAGAAAAATGGCAGGTGAATGGCAGCTGACAAATTCCTCAAGAGCAGGCAGAGGTAGTCAATGCCACAGAGAGACTTCACTTGGGCTATTCTTCAACCTGTGTCCAGGCTTAAACCACGCAATCACTTCCTCTTTTAGTATCTAGTGCTATCTGAAATTATCTCAGCCTTTGCCACAAATAGCCACAGACAGCCCCCTTTAAAAATGGCATCCTAGGATTTGCAGGCCAGCCGATGCTGAAGAAATCTCAGAGCTCTTTGCATATCTCTCCCAAGCTAGACACATCTTAGGCCTAATAAGGTTAATAGCCTTATGTCTATTTGTGACCACAGGAATGAAAAGAAGGTCATGTCCCTCGAGATCAGGGAAGAGAGCATTTCCCAGGCCTTTGGTGCGGAGTCTGTGAGGCTTGCTAATCTGGGCTCCAGCTTGGTCTCACAGTCTGGAGATAACTGTCTGCATTAGACTGGCTCAGCTGAGTCTCATTTGGTACCTTATGACTTAAAAAAAAACAAAGCCAAACCCTCCTGTGATCTCTGGCTATGAATCTGCAGAAGTGGAGTATAATAAAGAGAAAAGAGGTGAGAAAAGACCCTCGTGTTTGTCCCACTTACTGAGGTCAGGGTTCAGGCCATCCCCCTTCCATTACCTATCGGAGATCCCCATGGACTTCATGGTGATGTTTAGGTTGGGTTGAAAATTACTAACAAAACTCTTCTGCGAGTGGCCCAAGCTTAGCAGTGAGACATGCACATCTTAAAGGAGCTGCAGGTACTTGCCTAGAGAACGTGTGAGACCCAGCCCTGGGTCTTGCCTGTTAAAGCTGTAGGCAGAGCAGGCAGCCCCCTCACTGCCTAGGAGTGGGCTCTCCGATGTGTCTGCAATATATATTTACAACATGTTTCTAGGCTGTGGAGCAATCAGCTCTGACCTGATTAGAGGCCCCTGGTGCACACTTCTGCAGGTCATTGTAATTCCACTGAGCCCCAGAGATGGGCTCTGTTGGTAGCACCTGCGCTAGATTGTTTCTGAAGGTTATAGGGCCACAACGTCTTAACAATGTGTACAACTCCAGACAGCAGGTGTGACTGGAGCAGCTAATCACAAGCACTGTGATTTTTAAAAAATGTATACTGAGGTTCCCGGAAACTCACCAGGAGCGATGAGTCTGGGCACGCTGAATGGGGTCGGTCATGGCCGGCACTAGAGCTGTGCATTGAGCAGATGTTTGGGGAACAATAAGGAGGGAGGAGGTGGGTGGGAGAAGCACACTTGTGTTTTATTTTCTTTCTTGATGATAAATTTGTACACTTATATTGTCCAAAAAACTCCCAAATAGAACTATGACTTATTTTTCACAATTGACAGAGTCAAGTTCATCTTTCTGACAGTTGAAAGTGTTTTCTCTTTGGAAATTGGAGAAGGCCAGTGCCCAGGGGAATGTATGCCTGGCAGTCTAACTGGAAGCATGGAGCATAATTGGGTGGGGAAAGCCTCTCTCCCCAGAAGCAAAGCCAGCTTTGAGTGATGAATGGGGTGGGGGCCTTTTGTGGCCAGGCAGACTCCATTATTCCAGAAAGCTGGGAAGACTGCCCTCCCCCAGCCAAATATTTCCCTTAGTATTTATTTGGTGGAGACTGCAATTTCATCATTAATAATGCATTCCTGTGTGCTAGCCATCATCCCCTGTTCAGGGGGATCCTCTGTAACATGCACATCCTTCTGGGAGGCATACATTTCTGCACTGACAGTGAACAGTTCTGTCTGAATTACCATCTTCAGGTTCTTTTTTTTTAGAGAGCATTTTGAGAATAAAACTAGAGGCCCGGTGCGGTAGCTCACGCCTGTAATCCCAGCACTTTGGGAGGCCGAGACGGGTGGATCACAAGGTCGGGAGATCGAGACCGTCCTGGTTAACATGGTGAAACCCCATCTCTACTAAAAATATAAAAATTTAGCTGGGCGTGGTGGTGGGCGCCTGTAGTCCCAGCTACTTGGGAGGCTGAGGTAGGAGAATGGTGTGAAACCGGGAGGCGGAGTGTGCAGTGAGCCGAGACAGAGCCACTGCACTCCAGCCTGGGCGACAGAGCGAGACTCCATTTCAAAAAAAAAAAAAGAGAGAGAGAGAGAATAAAAGTAGAAAAATGAGGATTGCTACAGATATTCTTTAACCTCATCACCCAGTGTGTGAGTCTGGTAGGTCATGCTGCCTTGTTGCCTTAGTTAACTACCCCTTCTTTGTTTGTGCTATATGTGCATATCCATGCACATGCTCAAACATACATGTTAACATGTTTACGTGCATTCTTGTCTTGTGAGCAAACGTATTAGGTAGAAAAAAAGGGGGATAATGGCGTTTTATGGTAATGTCCATTTTATAGTGATTTCTAGGATACCTTCTGCTGTGAGTTGCATTGTGTCTTCCAATAAATATATGTTGGACTTCTCACCCCGGGTATCTCAGAAAGTGACCTTATTTGAAGATAGGGTCATTGCAGATGTAATTAGTTAAGATAAGGTCATGCTGCAGTAGGGTGGGCCCCTAATCCAATATGACTAATGTTCTTATAAAAAGGAGGCATTTGAAAACAGAGACTCACGCACAGAACACTGTGTGTGAACATTAACCCAGCCATCTACAAGTCAAGGAGAGAGGCCTGGAACAGACCCTTTCCTCACAGCCCTCAGAAGGAGCCAACTCTATCAACACCTTGATCTTGGACTTCTGGCCTCCAGAGCTGCGAGACAATAAGTTTCTGTAGTGTAAGCCACCCAGTTGGTGGTACTTTGTTATGGGAAATCCTCCAAGCCTTAAATAGCTCCATGGCTTCCACAGAACAGAGTTTTTCTATGAAAGCTAAGCAATGCTGAAATTTAGTTTAAAATTTCCAAAAGGAATATTGCTAAAAAGGTTTTTAAAAAGTAAAGAAATAAAGAAAATGTAAGCAAATAACACTTGTTACAGAGGACAGGTGCTTTATAGTAGAAAGATGACTGGCCTTAGAGGTGGAAGACATAGGTTTGAGTCTTAGTTCTGCCTCTTACTGCTGAGGTGACTTTGTAAAAGCCACTTGGAGTTTCTTCTCTTTTTCTTCCTTTCTCCTTCCTCCTCCTCTTCTTCTTCTTCTTCTTTTTTTTTTTTTTTTATCTTATAAACAATCAAAATTTACTTCTTACAACTGTGGAGGCTGGAAAGTTGAAGATCAAGGCACCAGCAGATTAAGTGCCTGGCAAGGGTCTTCTTTCTCATAGATAGTGTCTTCTCACTGTGTCCTCTCATGGTAGAAGGGCCACCTGGAGTTTCTAAACTTTATTTTTTAAAATTTTGTAAAATATTTTGTAAACCATTTCAACAGCCAGACTTATAAAATGTAAAGGTCTTAAATGTATAATAAAATTGTCATGTATTAAGTAAATGCAAGGTGTTATTGCCGTCATCTTACCACAACTGAAGGTGAGAGTTTGGCTTGAGTGCTCAGGACTTTCACGTTCTCTTCCTGTCCATCACTGACGTGAATGGCTGAATAAGCTCCTCAGTCCCCTTGAGTCAGGTGGCTTCACACTGGGTGTTCTAGATTCTCTGTTTTTTCTAGAATTCTAGCTCCAAGTCTCAAGATGGCTTAGGTTATTTTCAAGAAAGAAGAAATTCATTTGACCCTGGCTCTGTAGAGTGCAGCTTACGGGGGACTCTTCTTTCTCCAAATACTATCTGGTAAGCTTATTCCAGAGTTATTGTTTTGCAAAAATGTAATTATTTCAAGGCTACACTTTGAAATCCCATGAACAGAGAGTAGAAATAAAATGCATATGGTAAGAGGAGGATTTTTTTTCTTTGAGGCTGTATGTATGAGGAAGGGTATGACCCAGTGAAATACGACAGTTATTTGCTCTGTCTTTATTCCTTCCAGTAAACAAATGGCTTTAGGTCCTCACACCCCTAAAGAGCAGCCTTTCATGGGTAACTAGGAGGAGGGAAGATGAATTGAAATTGCAACAGAAAAACTTACCCTACTAGACAAGTCACATACAAGAGGAGGTGTCCCAAGAGGACATGAGGAATATAGTCTCTGAGCAGCTGCTTGCCTTTCTGAATTTTGTTCTGTCCTGCACAAAATTCACTTGAATGTGTCTTCTCCGACATCTGATTAGCTTGGTACCTAAGTGCCTTCCCCAACTAAGAGTCCACTTAGCAGTGCAATTGAATGGCCAGGAAATGAAAAAGAAATATGTCATGCAGAGGCTCATAATTTGTCTCTCTTCTACCTCCAGGCACAGAGCTCTTGAATCTTAAGGCTGTCAGAGGCCTTAAAGATCCTCTGTGGCACTCTTAGTAGAGGAAGAAATACCCTTGACATCTTTGCTTATAATTTCCTAGTTTCTCCTTAGACTCCTGTGTATGGGAGACACTGCTTTATGAACCGTGTTCAATATTTAGGATGCTTTTTCTTGTTTTGTTGAAAAGTTTGTATTCATATGGAAAATAAATCTGCTCCTAGTTTTGTTCTTTAGAGCCATAAGAATAAGAAAAATCCCAACTTGTTCTGGGCAGCTCTTTACATACTGGAACATTACTTTTATGTCCATCTCAAGTATTTCTCTTCTCCATACAAAACATCTCTTGTATTTTCTATTATTCTCTCGTCAAGATTAGGAGTGTTTCTCACCACCCTAAGCAGTATTCTGCACACATTTAGGGCATTTAGGAGGGACATTTTCCAACAAGCTTCTTAAAGTCCTCTACCCAGAGTTGAATATTGTGCTTCTGATATGGACAGAACAGAGGGGAGAACAGAATATGGTGAGCATGTGACATCCTGATATTTACAGGACAATTAATTCTGGACACTGGATCTTCATAAGCTCAGTTGCCCTTGGGAACCTGGTGCTTCTTTTCTTCCATCCCTGTCTCTGGGTGGCCAATGAGCCCCACATTGGCATCAGTGCAGGCAGGAACCTCACTGAGTTTTCCCTTGGGAAGAGTATTAACTATGGTCTCACACTGATCTTCTTGCCCACTCTAACCTAATGGTTACCCCCACAAACATACTGGACATTTCTTCCAAATCTAAGTGCATTGTATCAGTGTTGACCTGTCCAAAGAGATGGATTTTCTAGATGAGACTGGGATTTTGGAATGGGACAGGATGCATGAACATTAGCCTTGCTGCCCACTGACTCGACGATAATCTAGACCTACATGATCTTCCAGCCTCTGGAAGCAAAGGCTTGGTTTACCCTTAGCCAGAACCTTTTGCTGAGAGCTTTTCACCAACATGCTGCAGAAATAAGAGGGAGAGTTCCCACTTGTCCCAGCCATAAAGAAGACAGCTCCAAATGGCCACCCAGAGATGGGGATGGAAGAAAAGAAGCACCAGGTTCCCAAGGGCAACTGAGGTTATGAAGATCCAGTGTCCAGAATTAATTGTACTGTAAATATCAAGATGTCACACGCTCACCATCATCAGGAAGCTTGAATGAACTCATTGCATTTTTTGAAGTGTCTCTTTCTCTCTGTTCCTTAGACCTTTCTCAATCTCCATTCAACAAAGATCTGATGAAGTATTTCAGTATTTATGAAAAATAGGCTTCCTTTGGGGAGGATACAATTCAGCAGCGAATCTAACCAGCTGTACTACTAATTATATGTTTACTTGGTACACATCACTGCATTTTGCAGGGACAGTTTACTCACCTATACCATAAAATAAGTAATAATTTTTTAGCTTTCTTCTAGTTCTTATATCCTATGCATATACTCAAGCCGCAAGGTTTGAATTTCTGAAGGCCAAACTCACAAAGACCTTGAAAGTCTCTCTCCCATGGTAGCTGCTTCAATGTAGGGAGGGATCTGTTCTCTGCCCAGTTTTCCCTGTCACCAGCCTTAGCAATTTTAACTGGAGAAGGTTTTTTATTTTTTTGAGACGGAGTCTTGCTCTGTCGCCCAGGCTGGAGTGCAATGGCACGATCTTGGCTCACTGCAACCTCCACCTCCCAGGTTCAAGTGATTCTCCTGCCTCAGCCTCCCTAGCAGCTGGGATTACAGAGAAGTTAGTAACACAGCACGACCTTCCACATCCTCAGTGTTAAGGTTAGGTCCTGCTGGTCATGTTGGCCTACTGATGGTCCCTAGTCACTTTTGGGATTTGCTGTGGAGTCAGGATATGAAATTCTGCCTTAGGTATTTATTGTTCTTACTCTTTCAATACATACAGACCATAAACAGGCCTATCATGTGAGTGGAAATGTATGTATGCTTTCTCTTCTGAATGTGGCCAGGTTTTTCACAGAGGTGACTGAAAGTTACAACATGACCATTCTGCGTTAGTTCTCAGGTGAGCACAGATCCTTAACACAGTGTTTGCTGAAAAGGAACACTGCCAGGTGATGTTTTAATGCAAATTCCCATTTATTTACAGGATATCAGGCAAGCAGTGAACCAAGGAGATCAAACAAGCCCTGGCTTTCTCTGTTCTCAGCATGGCCTGCCTGCTTCTGCTCCTTATGTCTCCCATTTGCAACTTGCTCTAAGTCAACACAGATTCTGCAAACAATCATTCCATAATTTTCTTATCTGATTCTTCCAGTGCTTTCTTTGTGACTCAAGGACTGTCTGCAAGGACAAGTGCAGGTGAAGGGTGGAGTCTCTGGGACAGGTGTGGCTGAGTGGCCATGCAAGATGAGGTATGAGTTCTGCTATTGGCACAATGACCCGGGTTGTGTCGAGCCAGCCACTAGGGCCTCCCACCAACCAGCTGCTCACAGGGTCTTCCATATGAACATCACGTATGTGGTGGTGCTGTGGCACACGAAGGTCCACAGGAGACCATCACTTGGTACTTCACACTGCAGAAATCCTAAAGCTTTCAGAAGAAGCATATAGAACAGAATTCTCAGATCGTCAGACTCGAAGCCATTTAAAATTATATAGTTGAACCTTGAGCAATGCGGGGCTTAGAGGCGCCAACTTCTCACACAGTCAAAAATTTACATATAACTTTTTACTCCCCAAAAACTTAACTACTAATAACCTTCTGTTGACTGGAAGCCTTACTGATAACATAGTCAAGAGTCAATTAACACATATTTTGTATGTTGTATATATTATATACTGTGAAAAAGGAAAATCCGGTTAAGAAAATCATAAAGAAGGAAAATGTATTTCCTATTCCTATTTTGTATGTTGTATATATTATATGATGCAAAAAAGGAAAATGCTATTAAGAAAATCATAAAGAAGAGAAAATGTATTTCCTATTCATTAAGTGGAAGTGGATCATCATAAAGGTCTTTGTCCTCATTGTCTCCATGTTGAGTAGGCTGAGGAGGAGGAGGTGGAAGAGGAGGGGTCTGTCTTGCTGTTTCAAGGGCAGCAGAGGCAGAAGAAAACCCACGTAGAAGTGGACCCGTGCCATTCAAACCTGTGTTATTCATGTGTCAGCTGTACTTCTATTAGGTTTCCTTGACCATTTTGAAAGCATTATAATTCTGTCAAAATAGACTAGCTGCAAATGGTAAACTATTAACAAAAGCCATGCTACTTAGACCACCAACCTCAGAATCTCCTGGCAAGCTTATAAAACAGCAGATTCTCGATTCCAATTTCAGACCTTCTGAATAAGAACTTTTAAGGTCACGGCACAGCAATCTCAATTAGAGTCAAGCTCCCCAGGTGATTCTTATAGACATCAGAGTTTGAGAGCCATTAAAGCAGCATATTTGACTCCATCTCCTGACCCTTCTGAATAATAAAAGAATTTAGTGTATGTTGAATGCAAAGAACTTGTGAATAAAAAAAGCTTTTTACACAGATGAATAACAACAATCATTCTGGAGGAATCCCCAAAAGGAGGATAAAGTGGCCTTGTGAAAATATTGATGATTGTATTGATTCCTTCAAAATCAACCTTTGGCTGAGAAAGACTTCACTAGTCCTTCTCTTTGGATTTTTCCAACAGCTTGATTAAGCCAGCCCCACTCATCTAAAACTGAGGTCTCCACGAGCATGGGGTTTTGGGGTACAGGTGAGGGTTGGGGTTCTGGGGCTGGAGGAGGGGGCACATGCACATGGGTGTGGCAGCCAGCAGGTAGGGTGTGGCCCAGAGAAGGTGGCGACATGAACTTCCAGATCTAGAAGCTAAAGCTACTCCCATCCCAACTGGAAAGTGGAGACAGAAGACCATGGTGGGGAAGGAGGAACTGTCCACCTGGAACACAATTCTGCTCAGACCTTGGCCACAGCCATTGCTTACATACTCTGCTGCCAAGCCCAAGGGGTCGACCAGATTAGGAGTCCGATAGGAACTTGACCTTTTAGGGGCTCAAAGATTATTTCTGTCAGATGGCTTTCTCAGAGGGAAAAGAACCCCAAGAACCACTCCCTGATCTCATGTCTCATTGATTCCACCAGTCAATCACAATGGAATCTGAAGTTTGTCTAAGGACAAAGAGTCAGCACTTTATCCTTATAAAAAGTTATAAAAAGACAGCTATAGACAGCTATGCTGCCAAAGCCCCAGGCACATGAAGGTAATTCAACAACCCATTAAATTTATTATGGTACTGGGAGGTGACAAAATTGCCTTTAGGGCCAAAGTCTGATAAAGAAGAACAGAGCTCTGTTTTAGGTCTGAAATTATACACGGTGTCAGCACATTGACAGGAGCCTGGGAAGTAAGAGGTTGCTTTGAAATTCAGAATGCTGAGTAACTCAACCTATTCAGACCTTTCTACTTTATCATCTCTCTCTCTCTCTCTCTCTCTCTCTCTCTCTCTCTCTCTTTTCCAAGCCAGGTTCTGAATGACTTAAATAGCTGGGTTGGGATTACAAAGGATTTTAGCTGTGGTTTTGTGTGTATTTGTATGCATGCATGTGTATGTATTTATGCGTGCATGTGTGTGTATTTATATGTGTGCATGTGTGTGTGTTTGTGTGTGTGTGTGTGCATGTTTGTGTGCCCCTTAAATCTGGTGCTTTCATTTTTTATGGTCTGTTTTACAAGAGAGAAATTGCCCATTGCTGTGCCAAGAGCGGTCTTTGAAACAGCAGTGAGAAGTCAGAAGAGCTGGGAAAAGGATGTTTGGCTTAATCAGTTTCGGAACCAAGTCCAGTCTGAATACTTATCAATTTCTAAGCCACTGTTTTCCCAGAGTCTGAGCCATGACCCCTCTCTCCCCACATCATTTTGTGGAGCAGGTTGTCAGAGGGAGGGATCAGACAGGGTATGCCCTTTCTGGGAGACTCCTGCTTCCTACCACACTTCACTGTCCTCAGCTGGAAGGAGGCCTTTCTCAACCCTTCTTGGCCTGGAAGCCTCTGTACTGAGAGGTTCAGGAAATCCAGGCAATGATTGATGGTTTGTTCGTGTCAGCAGAGCATAGGAAAAGCTTCTTTTCAGATAGGAGATTAAGCTCTTTTCATTTTGGGATCAAAAGCAAGAAGAAAGAGATGCATTTCATATGCAATCTGAGTTCTTTTAAAGAGTAACACCCTCCTCTCACCTTCCTCTACCCTCACTGTGTTGGAGTGGCACCAGGAGTCTGCGCTTCTGCCAGCTGCAATTTCTCCTTGTACCCGCTGGAAGCCAACCAGGATGGCTGCCGGCCTGGTCCTGCCGAGTCCTGTCCCTTGTTGATGGGCTCCAGGGAGCAATTGGCCCTGGGCCTGGCAGCCCACCTGACCTCCCTGCATTATCCGCTGTCTGTCACTTGTCATCGGGTGAGTCTGGTTGCAATCAATTCACGCAGGCTCCTGTGGGAACACGTCTGGTAACTTATCATGTTGCAGCCTGTCAAAAGTCTGACATGCTTGGGGCAAACGTTTGCTTTGTGCAACTGCTATTTCAAGGGTGTGTGATGTCGCCATCTCAACAGCGTATGTGCCCAGAGACAACAGCACTGAGAGAAAGCATGGTTTCAGGAATCCCAGGATCTGTTATTAGAAGAATGACCATTGTTAGGTAAATAACTCAGGGCACATGGTATGAACATTTGAGAAGGAGGGATCGCCTAGGGTTTCATGTCAGGTCTGGGGTGGGGGAAAGTTTATGCCGCTTTCTTTTCTTTGCGTTAGATTCCTGAATTCATTTCCTCAAAGCTTCTCCCTCCATGAATCTAGAAAGATTTCATGGACAATCTGCCATCAGGCTGAAATGATAACAAAACCTGGATTAGCACACCATTTCCCTAATAGAGTCACATAAACTCTTTTTAAAATTATTATTTCCAAGTCTGTGGCTATATTTTCTAGTCAATTGCCATTATAAATAATTTACCAAGTACAAAGGAGCATTCTGTATTGCCTGATTTATTTTAAATCCATGGCCTAAGGAAACAGAAGAGACCTTTGCTCCCTCTCCATCAGATCAGCTGGCATAAAACAATGTGTGTGCTTGGGATTTAGGTGATATTTTTTCCCTTGCATGCAAACATTGAATACTTTGGCTGAAAGAAAGCAAAACCTTTACAAAGCCCTTGGTGTTTGGATGGTGAGAGACTTGTGGCCCAGGCACCCTGGAGAGCAATGGGCAGCCAGCATCAACTACTAGACATTTGGTAACCAATCTCAGACCAAGAGCACCCAGCCAACCCAATGGCTGACTGCAAAACTGCCCAGTGAACCCATAGACTTGGGAATAATAATAAAAAACTTAAGTTCCTACATTTTGGGGTGGTTTGTTACACAGCAAAAACTAACTGATACATCCTCCAATGACTTAGTTTATATCAATCTAGAGGCCTTTGTCGGTCCTTATTTGCCTCAATGTTTCTGTCTGATTTGAGGTCATCCGTTCTGCTGAAAATCTTTAAAATGGATGCTTGTGGGGTGTTCCAGAGTGGTCTTACTTATAACAAGAGTTATCTTAAGTGACTCCTTGGAGATCTTCATTTACCTAGGCATCTCTATTGATGTGAAAGTAAAGAACCTGTTAATCTCTGTTAATCAGGAAAATGGTGTTAGAATGTGGTTTCTCCATCTACTCTTTGGTTGTCTGGCTAAACCTTGCTACCAGCAATGAGCCAGCTAGGGTAGAAAAAGCCTGGCCAATTGAAGGTTAATAATTGGGAAGTAGGTCCTAGCTACCTACCTATAGCAATCACAGAGTTCATCAGAGAAGCAGAATCAATAGGATGTATGTGTGCATATTTCTATATTATTTTGATTTTTAAATACACATAAACACACACACACTCATAGAAAGAGAGAAAGAGAGAATGATTGACAGAGATTGTGGAGGCCGGCAAGTCCAAAATCTTCAGGGTAGATCTGAAGGCCGGAGACCTAGGGAAGAGTTGATGTTGCAGTTCCAGTCCAAAGGCTGGCAAAATTCCTGGGGGGAAGTGAGTCTTTTTTCCATTAAGACCTTCAACTGATTGGATTAGGTCCATCCACATTATGGAGGGTAACTGCTTTACTCAAAGTCTACTGATTTAGTGTTAATCACATCTAAAAAATACCTTCACAGTAACACATAGATAATGATTGACCAGATACCACCAGATAATGATTGACCAGGTACCAACTAGGGCTAGCCAAGTTGACACATAAAATTAACCATCACACTACTGTTGTTGCTGATTAGATGACTAGACTTTCTTATTCTTAAGAAAGTCACTATTGTTTCTAACCCAGTAGTCATTGTCCAGGACTCAGTAGCTAGATATAGCAGACTGTGAAATGGTTCTGATCTGGGCAGATGTGCTTTGTGACTAATGAATCATGCAAAACATTTATCATATTTGCTTCCCTCTTTATTTCTCACTGATTGATCCTGGATGGGTGAGAAGTTTTCTCTATCAGAAAAGTCATCTAAATCAATAAAAATTTACAGAAACCACAAGCATTGTCATGATAGTGTCAGGGATTGCAAAGATGTCTTGAGGGTCCAGTTTCTTTTTAAATTATAGTCAGAATTACAGTGATGCCACCAAGAAAGAATAAATGTGTCAGAGATAGAAAATGTGATTTCACAATCCTTTGTTTACAGGTTTTAAAAGTCTTTGTCAGTTATGCAAAAAGCCTCTAAAAGTAGGACTAAAAACATGGGACACAAAGACTGGAACAAAACAAATGAATGTGGTTAATAACAGATATGTGGGCTCTCAAGGATATTAACATACATAAAAATTCATCATGAGAAATAATTACATTCCCTATTGTGGCCCACCCTCTAATTCTCCTGGGCCCTGAAAAATAATGGGAAGGTTAACACATTTCTCACATTTCTAAGCATGTTATTATTTCTTGCTTACACAAAAATTGCATAAAAGCAATTATTTGGAATCTGGGAGTAGATGACATATACTAGACTCAGATAAAAGCTTAACCAAAATAGAAAAGCAATCTGGCATTGCTGACAATATTGTCACAAAAATATTACATCTTATGAAGGGAATTTCTCAGAATTCAATAACAACATGTTTAACAGCTAAATGGAGTCATTTGCATACTGTGGCAAAGTAAAAATACAATAATCTCATTTTTTGCTGTCTAATAGGATTTCCTAGGGCTAGATGGCTGGGAAGCATAGTCCGATCCTTGCAGTCTGCCCTTTGCTTTTTGTTCACCCTCTGGGCTTTATCTTCTCCACCAATTCTTTTTCACCCTTTCTGCTCTACCTTTATTCTCATTATTCTTCTTCTTCTTTTTTTGTTTTAGAGACAGAGTCTTGCTCTGTCATCCAGGCTGGACTGGAGTGCAGTGGCGCAATTATAGCTCACTGCAACCTCCCCTCCCAGGTTCAACAATTCTCCTGCCTCAGCCTCCCGAGTAGCTAGGACTACAGGCACACACCACCATGCCTGGCTAATTTTTTGTATTTTAGTAGAGACAGGGTTTCACTGTGTTGCCCAGGCTGGTCTGGAACTCCTGAGCTCAGGCAATCCACCCACCTTGGCCTCCCAAACTGCTAGGATCACAGGCGTGAGCCACCAGGCCCGGCCTTCATTATTCTTTTTTATCCTGCACTCTTTTCCTTTACTCCTTTCCATTATTTTCTTATTCACTAAAAGAGATTCCAACTGACTGCCATTAACCTATTCCTAAGTATTAGCAGAGGAAATGAATGATCATTTCTCATTGTTTTCCTTGTTAGACCTTCTTTTTTTTTTTTTTTTTTCTGAGTCGGAGTCTCACTCTGTTGTCCAGGCTGTAGTGCAGTGGTGCAATCTCAGCTCACTGCAACCTCCAACTCCTGGATTCAAGTGATTCTCCTGCCTCAGCCTCCTGAGTAGCTGGGACTACAGGCACGTGCCATAATGCTCGGCTAATTTTTGTAGTTTTAGTAGAGATGGTCTTTCACTGTGTTAGCCAGGATGGTCTCGATCTCCTGATCTCATGATCCTCCCGCCTCGGCCTCCCAAAGTGCTGGGATTGTTACACCTTCTTTTACCTGCAAGTCTGCCATTATTATTGTTGTCATTTCCCTGGTTACCTCTTTCTAGGCCAGGTCAAGACAAACGGTGGACTGGGCCATTTCCTAGGAGGTACAGAAACATCCCACCAAATTCCAGAAAAAAAGAGGATAGTACAATTACTGAAGTTTTGTGTGTGTTCGTGTGTGTGTGTGTGTGTGCACATATGAATTTTGGTTATTATTTCCTCTTATTTTGCCTGCATTATTTGGATAAAGGCTTTAAATCATCAGGACCAGAATGGCATGGTGGTTGAGAAACAGGGATCTGACATTAGCTTATCTGGGTTCAACTTCATGCTCTCCCATGTTTTAGTTTGAGCCCATAAAAACTTACTTGATTTTTCTGCTCTTCAGTTTCCTTATCTATGGAGTCAGAATAATTATAGAACAGAATTTACAGTACTGCTGGGAAGATTCAATAAGATAGTGAACTGAAAACATTAACACATTGCCTTGTACATAGTGGACATGGCAAAGGTGACTCTCACTCCACAAATCCAGGTGTATGCGAAATAGCACATTTCTTTATTTGTGAATAAATTAGCCTCTCAGTAGTTTGTAATTCCATCTCACATACTCTATTTGGGACATAAAGTCCCTCAGGGTCTTTTTAAGGTTCTGAGCCCACATGATGAGCCAATGCGCTGATGGTGGCCCCTGGTCATTACCATCTGCTCAGCCAAGTAACTGCTGGTGGAGCCATTGTCCTTCCCACCCTCTGCTCTCAAGTTCAGGTTCCTTTTTGAATATAGAATCTTGGGAGAAGCCAGGAACCACTGTCCTTATGATCCCATTTTTGCCAATTCTTTCTTTGAGGTGTCACCCCCTGGAAGGCAGAAGGTGGGCATATCATTGTTCTGTCATCCACATGCCTCACTCCTCTCTAGTCTTGGGAAATCTCTCTCTCTTTTTTATTAAAATCAGGATCAAGCACCTCTCTGCCTCCTGCTTCTTCCAAGTCCTGGTTCTCTTCTATTGCTCTGCCAATCTTGTTTTCTCCTCTGAGCTTAGCCTATTGAAAACAAGATGAAGACATCTTGCAAGCATAGTGAGCCCTCCAGCCTGCCACAGACCACCCATGAAGCAATAAAGCATTGAGCTTTCTTCCTGTTTAAGTGGCTGGGGAGGGCAGAAAGACCCCAGTAGTAGTGAGAGGTGAAGCCGGATGGGCTTCTGGGTCAGGTGGGGACTTGCAGAACTTTTCTGTCTAGCTAAAGGATTGTAAACACATCAATCAGTGCTCTGTAAAAATGGACCAATCAGCGCTCTGTAAAATGGACCAATCAGCAAGATGTGGGTGGGGCCAAATAAGGGAATAAAAGCTGGCCACCCCTGGCCAGCTGTGGCAACCCACTCGGGTCGACTTCTGTGCTGTGGAAGGTTTGTTCTTTTGCTCTTCACAATAAATCTTGCTGCTGCTCACTTTTTGGGTCTGCACTACCTTTATGAGCTGTAATACTGCCAAGACCTGCGGCTTCACTCCTGAAGTCAGCGAGACCACGAACCCACCCGGAGAAACAAACAACTCCGGATGTGCCACCTTTAAGAGCTGTAACACTCACTGTGAAGGTCTGCGGCTTCATTCCTGACGTCAGAGAGACCGTGAACCCACCAGAAGGAAGAAACGTCGGACACATTTGAATATCTGAAGGAACAAACTCTAGACACACCATCTTTAAGAACTGTAACACTCACCGCGAGGGTCTGCAGCTTCATTTTTAAGTCAGCGAGACCAAGAACCCACAGGAAGGAACCAATTATGGACACAGTAGTAGTACAGCAGAAAGAAAAAGAGAAAATATCTGGAGAAACCCCAGAAATTAATTTCTAAATGTTATCAAGCTACATAAGCATTATTCAGATATTAGGGTTTTTTTTTTTTTAACACCTTGCTGAAACTGTGCTTGGCCTGATTAGTACTTTTCTCTTGGCATTATATTACATACCTTCAGTCTTTGTTTTATGTTGCTATAACGGAATGCGTGAGACTGGGTAATTTATAAAGAAAGAGGTTCATTTGGCTCTAGATTCTGGAGGCTGGGAAGTGCAAGATCAGACAGCTGCATCTGGTCCACTTCTGGTGAGGGTCTTGTATAGCATCACAATGTGGCAGAGAGGCAAAACAGGAAGTGTACATGTAAAAAGGACAAAACATGAGGCATGACCTCGCTTTATAAAAAACCTGCTCTCTGGAGAACTAACCTGGTCTTGTGAGAAAGACATTAATTCTTCTTACTGGCCTAATCACTTCTTGAAGGCCTCACCTCCCAATGTGGTTACATTGACAATTAAATTTTAACTTAAGTTTTGGAGGGGACAAACCACATTCGAACCATAACACTTTCCTTCTTAAAACATCATTTTCTTTGCTATGACTCAGCCATCTTCTAGTTACCTCCTATATCCCTGGGTGCTACTTCTGTTTATTTCATGGAATCTTCTACAATCTGTGTCATAGTGTACCTTGGGGTTCCACATTCTGCTCTGGGTTCTCTTCTCACCCTACTCATTTCCCTGGGAAATTGTACCTACACCTGTTATTGATATTTTGATGACTTCCATATCTGTTCTTCAGCTCTGTGGTACATTGCAAAGCCTGGCCAGAAATATTTGTTGCTCCTCCTGTCAAGCGGTGGAGTTGATTTCTCCAACCATTGAGTCTGGCTGCCTTTGGGACTTGCTTTGGAGAACAAAATGCAGAAGTGATGCTGTGCCAGTCCTGAGCTTGGACCTCAAGATATTTTGCACACATATGCTTTTGATCTTGGAACCCCTTATCCTAGCCCAGTAAACTGGGCTGAACTGATGATCAAAGACGCCTCCTTCACCGTGTCTACAAGGCCCTCTGAAAACACCTGGTCCTCTGGCGATCCATCAGTTAACTGGTAAGTTCATAAACTAGCTTAGCCCAGATTAGCCAGCCTGGTCCAGATCCACAGAAACACCTAGATGACTTGAAGTTAAGAGCAATAATAAAACATGCTGTTTTTAAAACACTGACTTCTGGGGTGGCTTGTCACACAACAAATGTTAATTCGTACAGGCTCAAACATATCTTCTGAGCTCCCTGTCTTACAAAGGCAGTGGCCCCGGACATCTCCACCCACTCGTCCTAAATTCAACATGCCCAAAACTGACTTCAACATTCTTCCTCATCCCCAGTCCATATCCACTTCCAAGCAGAGCTGATTCTTCTTTTGTCTTTTTTTTTTTTTTTTTTTTGTTATCTTGGCAAACTGTCGTCTACTTAGAAACCTGGGCAGCATCCCTACCCCCAATTCCTTTCCCCCCATATTCAACCCATCACTAAGAGCAGTCAGTCCCACTTTTGAATAGCTCTCCTACTTATCTACTTCTCTCTACCTCCACTTTGTGTGTGTGTGTGTGTGTGTGTGTGTGTGGTATAGAATATTATCACCTCTAGCCTGGTTTTCTCAAGCCTCCAAAGTCATTTTCCTACCTGCATGCTTGCCTTAACTTCCATTTTTTATTTCCATGAGCTTCTGCTGGACTCACAGCCTTGACTTTAATCCTCATATAATTGGGAAACATTAAATATTCTTGAATGTTAACATGTCAGTACCAGGGCTCTGCTTCAAGAGAACTGGTCTGGGAGTTGTACTGAGCATGCCTTATGGGGAAACTTTGGATGTAAGAAGAGAAATTAAGAAGGCCTTTCATACATCCAGCGAGAAAAGATGGATCTCAAACAAGACTGGTGGTAATGAGAACTTTCAGTGTTTTTTGAAGGAAAGTTTTAGGAGGATGAGATGGATACCAAGAAGAACTTCAGGAGTATATTATTCAGGCTCTGTTCTGAGCAGGTGTCAAGGGAGGGAAAGGGCCCGTGATCTCAAGCCTGGCTCACAGATATGAGTGAAAGCATTGTTTGAATAATAAAGTATGGAGGAGAAGGAGGTTTATGGAGCAAAGAAATGGTCACAAGACAACTAGGAGACACGGTGCTGGAGAGGTGGTTTGGGGTCAGCCCTTCTGTACGTGCATGGCAGCTAGTTGCTCAAGCGCATTGCTCAGCTTTTTCCTTCTGCATCTCTGTATGTGCCATTTCTTCTACCCAGCTTCCTGATCTATTTATTAAAACAATACTTCCAAGATCTTTCTCACGTGTCTCTCTTCTGGTTGCTTATTTACATAATGAATGTTGATTGCGTGATCACTATATGTCAGCTCTAGGGCTACTGTAGTAAACTGAGCTCTCCCAACGATCCCTGCATCTCTCGTTAAGTATCCTCTATCATAACCCTGTATTATGAAACTCAACCCTGTGTGACATTCAGCTCTACAGCCAATGATAGTAGATCAGAATTACAAGTTTGGCAAACTCTCCCAGTACACTAGATCTTAAGTTCATCTTTGTATTTCCTAGAGCATGCAGTAAATATACAATAAATATTGGATGAATTAATGAATCATGCTATAAAATATTAAAATAGGTCTGGAATGATAACATTTTATTAAAATGATTACACTATTTTCAATGTTAAGACCTAGAGATAAAGTAGAATGGAGAGTCTCTGAAGTTCATTAGCAAATGAAAAGAACCAGTCAAAATTTCATTAGAGGAAACAGACATGCATAGTGACATAGATCACCTTGCCCTGATTTTCCTTGTGAAAGTTCATTGATATTTTATGGTAGTAATTTGTTGTAGTGAGAGGTTTAACTTTCCTGCCCCAAATAGTTACATGTGATGTGATTTGAGGGATGCACCCTGATGCCCCCACCTCCTTATCTACCCACTGGCAGACGTTTGAGATTTCACTGTCTCCAAGACTCCATCCTCTCAGTGTAAGGCTTTGATCTGTGCTAAATGACAATATGCATAGGCGGGGCCACAAGGTGACAATGAAGGGAAAGGCTTGGAAGAAACCATCTGAGTTCATCATGAAATTCAACACGCAGTCTCTGGGCGTTGAAGTGAGTCTTTTTGTAGGTGGCTGAGATGCCTGGAGCAGAGATGGGCGATAGAAGATGAAATGTCTTGATAATAGAAAAAGAAATTGCTAAAAATTGTCACTCAACTCTCCTATTTCTCCTTGTTTTTCTATGCCCATCTCTCATTCTTCCTTTCCCCAGATTTTTCTTATGAAAATAATATATAATCAGGCCTTGCAGTTGTCATTTTTTTTTTTTTTTTTTTTTTTTTTTTTTTTTTTTTTTTTGAGACGGAGTCTTGCTCTGTCACCAGGCTGGAGAGCAGTGGTGCAATCTCTGCTCATTGCAACCTCCGACTTCCAGGTTCAAGTGATTCTCCTGCCTCAGTCTCCCCAGTAACTGGGATTACAGGCACACACCATCACGCCCAGCTAATTTTTGTGTTTTTAGTAGAGACAGGGTTTCACCATGTTGGCCAGGATGGTCTCGATCTCCTGACCTCGTGATCCACCCATCTCGGCCTCCCAAAGTGCTGGGATTACAGGCATGAGCCACCGTGTTCGGCCACAGTTGTCATTTTAAGAGACTGATTATTGTGTAAATAAGGACTCATAAAAATATATTCATCTTGGTCTTATTTTTTGCATTTGTTTTGTTAATATAGACATTAAAAAATTGACAAAGCCTTGTTTCTGTGGCCCATTCACCAGATAGTGGTTTTATCATAAAGAACATTTTATTGTAATTGTATTCCTTGTATCAACCTATTTTAGCAAAGCTCATAGTGTTATGTGCCTCCATAGTGAATAAAAAACACATGCTCCACAAAATTCAGTCTTTGAAGAATATCTAAATAACACTAAGGGTCTTATTTACATATGACTTAAGAAAGTAATAACTGTTTAGAATGTGGGCAGAATGAGGGCAGGAATTTCTATTTTTGCCCTCTTTGTATCTTCTGTGTTTAGAACAGTTCCTGGTAGAGTAAAAGTACTCAATGAATATTTTTTAAATGAATGAATGAATGGTCTAGCTTTTATGGGGTAGCCTCATGAAAAATACTCTGTGTTGTGTGCACTGATGCAGAAGCCCGAGCTCTGGTGTTAAATCTCACTTCTGCTACTTACTCCGCTGTGGGCCCTGGCATGAGGCCCTTGGTCTCTCTAAAATTCACTATATTCATTTAACGAATGACTCTTGTGTTAGATCATAAACTCTGTGAAGCTAGAGACTGGACCTGACTTGTTTCCCACTGATTTGTTCCCTACCTAACACTGCCTAGCATAACACCTGGAATACAGAAAGGGAGAAAGTAAATTATCTCTTGAGAGAATTAACTCATTTTGGTCATCTTAGTAATGTTTTATGAGGACTAAATGAGAATAGCTAAATGTAAGTGTTTTAGAACCGTATGATGAATTTAGATGAAAAGGGAGGATCTTGTATCAAACTACCTTTCTTGTAGACAACAGTGATAAATGTTTGGAAAACCTTTTAAAATAGTTATTGGAAGGCATTGGAGAGCAAACAAAAGCAGTCAAAAGCTGGAGGGGATGTCATATTTGAAAGGAGGAATTGCAGGTGAGGAGGAGGAGGGGAAACAGTCCCGAAAGGTGGAGGCATTTGGAGGACACCACACGCTAAGAGGAGGCCAGTGTGGTGGGAAAGGGGAGGGAAGCTGAGATATGAGACTGTGTAGGCCAAGAGGAGTTTCCCAGTCTTTATCCCAGGTGCCAAGGAAAGCCACCAAGACGTTTAAGCAGCTGTGAATGGCAGTAGGGGTGTTTCCTGTTTTGAAAATATCTCCTGGCTGCAGCTTGGAAAAGTGCTCTGATGCAGGGTTTGTTGAGCCAGCTGATTGAGCAGCCTACACAGCGGGATGTATCTTGCCTTCCTTCTCTATCGCTGCATGACACATTACCATACAATAACACTCACTGCTCTCTCACAGTTTCCATAGGTTAGAAGTCTGAGCACAGCATAGCTGGGTTCTCTACTTGGGTGTCTCCAGGCTGAAGTCAATGTGTTGGCCAGGCTGTATTCTCATCTGGAGCTCAGTTCATCTTCTAAGCTTATTCAGGTTGTTGGAAGAGTTCGGTTCCTTGTAGTTGTAGGACTGAGGTCCCTGCTTTCTTGCTGACTATTGGCCAGGACTTGCTCTCAGCTCCTAGAGGCCACCCTCAGCTCCCAGCCACATAGCCTTCTCAAAACATGACAGCTGACTTTTTCAAAGTTAGCTGGAGAATCTTTCCCTAGTCTGCTAGGAAAGAATCTTAGAGAAGGTGATGTATTTTCCTAGGTCTAGACCAAGGGGAGGGGAGTACACAGAGGGTGAACAGCAGGGTGTGGAAAGCCTGAGAACCACCCTAGAATCTGTCTGCCATCATTTCAACATGGTATACGTTTAACTATTTCCAGCGCCCAGATCTGCCTTAGGGGTGAGACCACTGATAATGAAACCCTTTGGTACCCTGTTCTTTTCAGTAAGCCCTTTGGATGGAGTCCTGTACAGGTTACCTGCAGCCAAGCAGATGTCCTTCTTTCTTAGTGGTACATTTCCCTGTAGAGTAATGAGCTATGACCACATGGGTTGGTTTTTTTGGGGGGAAGGCAGCATTCATGACAATAGTTTACTTTATACAATTGGCTCCTCATCACTTTGGCAAAATTTAACCTTTAGTTTGCAAAGAAGCCACTCTAGCTGAACATAGGGGATTAAAATACTTGTTTTTGAATTTGTGTATATGGATAAAGTTCTAAAAAATACAATGCTGTGCCAAAAATGGCGGTACTTGAAAAAGTTACAATAGCTGGCCTCTGTTTTTATAATGTAATTTCAACTGGATTTCCTTTGGCCAGCCTGAGTATGTTTTAGCTTACTTAAACTCAGATTGCTCTGCATTTTCTCCCAAAGAGATGTCCCTGCTGCAGTCTTCCTGGCGTTCTATTTGATTAAGACACTTTCGAGGTTGCTGTTCCTTTGACTTTTACTGATGTGAGAGCAATTAAAAGAAAATTGACTGACTCACCTTCCACCTCATCTTTCTTTGACTTGTTTGCTTCTATTTTCCATTCCATTTATTATTAATAGAGTGCTTATTTTCATAGCTTCTGCATATTTCACAAAACCAAATAAACAGCTCTTCCTCTTGGAAGAGGGGAAGGGTGCCGGTTGCCATTAAACCAGTGGTCACTCACTTCCCAGCTGGTTATGCATCCCCCTTGTCCTTTGGGACTTGATCCGGGAGGAAGCCAAGAGTAGTGTGAGGGGGAGGAATCAGAGGAACAGAAGGAGGTGACACAGGAGAGGGAAAAGCTGCCAGCCAAGCCTGGGCATGGAAGGGGATTGGGTGGGAGAGGGGGTCTCCTTTAGTCATTCAAGCAGAGCACCCCAAACAACCCTGACAATGGTGCAATGTTCAAGGTTACAACTCTCCCTTGGTTAGCTCTGGGGGATTAACTCCAATCTCCTGGGAACTCTCAATTTGCAAGCTTTTTTTTTTTTTTTTTTTTTTTTTTTTTTTTTTTTTTCAAAAGAAGGGCCTGGCAACAGGGCTTCCTTTGACATAGGAGAACTGGAAATGTTTCTTTTTTCCTCTAAGTTGTAAGGAACAAAAGGGAACAACATCATTAACTATACACTACCTAGACATGCCCAAATCGTGTATGTTTGTGAATTTTCAGTAATGCCTGTTGCCTTCCCCACTCCCCACTCACCCCATTGCTGTCTTCCAAACACATAATGCGGCCCGAAACATTTGAAAGACAAAGCTGCAGTGGTGTATGTTGACCCTGGCCCTTGATGCCTCCACAGAGTTCTCTGAAGTAAACATGTGAGCTGAGAAGCCTTCTTCCATGGGCTATAAATCTCTGTAAGTGCTGCTGGTTCTAGTCTCCGGTCTCTGCTGGAAGCCACAGCTGCGGGGGAGACACTTCCCAACTTTCACTGCTTGGGAAGGGTCAGAGATCCCCCCTGGAGCTGCCTCTTCCCTGTGACCCTGACAAATGGCAAATGGCACTTTCTCTAGGCAGCAACCTGCCTCCAACTTTCTCACCAATACCTGGAGACTTCCTTCCTCAGGCTGACAGCCAAGTGGCCCGCCGGACCCGCCTGGCTGCCAAGTGGGAGCAAACACAGGATGTTATTTCTGTTCTTAGAAGACCAGGTTCACACACCACAGCCAGGAGTGTGGGAAGGGAGAGGAAGGGCCTCCTCTCTGGCATCCAGTGCTGGCCCCAGTGGAAGTACTGTTTTCGTAGTGGGAATGAATGGGTTGGTCTGAGGCCCTGGGCTCCTACCCAGTCCTCTAAAGAAGAGAAGGCAGCCCTAGGGCATTTGCCAGACCTCAGGGAAGTGCTCGCTTAGTCCACAGGGAGGTGCTGAGGCTCAGCTTGCTTGGGGCCAGATCCACCCAAATATCCCAAGGCAAGCAAATCCTCAACAATCTTAAAATATAAACCCATAAATAAAGTTCTATTGGCAGCCTGCTCCATTAAAAATAAAAATACTCTGGGAATGACTTTTCAAGGCAAATGCTGGAAAAAGAGCTTCTAAAGGAACAGAGCAGAGGGGAGAATCAGGCAGTGCCTAGCTCTAGACCTGGCTGCAGGCTTAACTCCGTGCGTCTCAGATTTACGCTGCCCAGTTTGATGTCTTCTGGAAGCAGGAAACAAGTTGGAAGGGTGCTGGGCTTGGGAGTCAAAGGTGGATTGTGGGAAAGTCAGTTTATTTCATTTTATTTTTTTCAAATTTTATTTTAGATTCAGGGGGTACATGTACAGGTTGTTAGGAAAGTATATTGCTTGACGCTGAGGTGTGAAGTACAATTGAACCCCTCACATAGGTAGTGAGCATAATACCAGATAGGTAGGTTTTTCACCCTTGACACCCTCCTTCTCTCCCCTCTAGGAGTCCCCAGTATCTATTGTTGCCATCTTTATATCCACGTGTACCCAATGTTTAGCTCCCACTTATAAGTGAGAACATGTGGTATTTGGTTTTCTATGTCTGCATTAATTCGCTTAGGTTAATGGCCTCCAGCTGTATCCATGTTGCTGCAAAGGACATGATTTTATTCTTTTTATGGCTATGTACTATTCCATGGTACTATTCCACGATTTCTTTATGCAATCCAACACTGATGGGCACTTGCTATTCGTCTTTGCTATTGTGAATAGTGCTGCAATGAACATATGGATGCGTGTGTCTTTTTAGTAGAACAATTTATTGGGAAAGTGAGTTTAATCTTTTGTTCAACAAGCATGTATTCAGCACTTCTGTACGCTGTCATAAAGAAGGAATATAAAAATAAAGATAATAGGATCCCTGCCCCATGTGGCCCACATTCTAGGCGGTAGAAAATAAATAGGTAAACAAATGAGACACTTTAGAGCAATGAGTCTCATGGAGAGCTTAAAGAGAGCAGGCCCCGTGGCAGAGAGCCAATCTGAGCAAGGGAACTTTAAGCATATACCTGGGCTTTAAGAGGAAGTCAGCCACAGGAAAAAGGAGTGACACATTCAAACACTCGAGCTGGAAACCAAGGGCTCACTAGGTGAAGACTCAATTTCCTCACCTGTACAGGATATCACTGAGGCTCTCATAAAGAGTGAAAGTACATTTTGTGCTGCCTTGCTAATGTCTAAGAACTTGCTCAATGGCACAGCTCCCATTCCAGGGCTAAATTCTGGTGGTGCTTGATTTCCACAACAAGAACTCACACAATGGTCTAATTCCCCCTTTGAACCGCTCCTAGCCAAGTCTTCCAGTTCTCTGTTTTTCCCACCTTGTTAGCTTAAGAGACTTCACATGTGCCTGCCAATAGCTTCTGTACCTGATATTGTTCTCTTGAGCTCCCTTGAACCCAAAGCATAAAGAGAAAGGTGTGTGTGCACACGTTCTTGACCACACATACTTCTCTGTGTATTAACCCAGGTTTAATTTATGTCATGTGCATATACCAATGTGCAGAACATCTTTGAGAGTCTCTTCTATAAACACCCATGGAATTATTTACTTTGGTCTCAGTTCCTTTTTTGCAGCAGATTACCACCTAAGAGATCCAGGCTGTGTGTTGGTCATGCCTACATTTAAGAATTTCCAGAGATGGCTTCCCCAGCAGTCTTGGTTGCTGCCCTCCTAGGACCAATTTACCTTCTAGGCAAGATGCTCTTCCTTCCATTGGAGCCCCCTCTTCCTGCAACTCATTTTCTCATCCCCATTTCTTGTCCTCCCTGGAGATAGAGAGCAAATGGACAGCTCCTCTTCATAAGAGTCCTTGGTGGAATCCATGACTAGGTTGCCCTTGAGATGCTTTTTTTCCAAACTAAACAGCTCTATTCACCTTTGTCTTCCCCCAGGGGACTCTAAAGAACAGCACAGCCAAGCAGAAAGGAACAGCAGGAAGAGGCCCCTGCAGCGATCAGAGATGGATAGCAAACAGGGCAACCCCCACCAAAATGCCAGCAGCCCCAGGCTCTACAGCCCCACACTGGGCCATCTCCTCACACAGGCTCGGCCTCTGAAACCAGCAACATCCAGAACAGCAGTAGCATTTGTCTAGCTTTGCCTCTGGGTCAGGCACTTCCATGTCATTCTCACAACAGCACTGTGCAATAGACATCATGATCCCCATTTTGCAGATGAGGGAACTGAAGTTGGGATAGGGAAGATGACTTTCCCAGGGCACCTGGTACAGCTGAAATTTGAACTCAGATCTGATTCTAAAGTCAGCTCCACAACTGAACAATTTAAAGCAATGGTTGGCCATCTGCTATTTGGAAAGAGTCTTTTCCTTCTAGGTTCTGTATGTTGAGCAACTTTTGATAAGGAAGAAGATGTCAATACTAGAAGCTTAAATATAATGGGAAAGAACTCCGGAATAAGGATAAGAGATGCCATTCATGGAGGATCTTGCTGGGACCAAGAACTTTATCTGCATTATCTCATTAATACTCATGATGTCCCTACAAGGTAGACATTGCTATCCCCATTTTAAAGATTAAAAAAATCAAGGCTTCCATTAGTGAAGTAACTTGACAAGTTCAAGGGCTTCCATTCCTGCTCTGGAGGGTCCTGCCTCCAAAACTCTCAGTCACTACCCTTAATGCATGAAAGGTCATTTCAGATGGAAATGTATCACTCGAGACACACTTTGTCATCATAGTCCAAATGACACATACCTAGTCTGTAAAGATTTGCTGATCATGCATTAGCCTTTAATGCCACATGTACAAAGAGAAAAATTAGCATGAACAGACAGCGCTAGTTACAAATAAAAGGATCATGAGTCACCATACTTCTCAATCTCTGATACTCCCTGAATGATAAAATACAAGTCTTGTAGTGAACCTAGGAAGTTTGTCATTTTACCTTGTCATGATATACTACAGCAAAAATGTGCCAGACCAGGGAGCAGATCTGACTAGAGTCCCGGCTTTGACACCGACTAACCGTGTGAACACAGCTAAGTTGTATCACTTTGCCAAACACTGGTTTCTTCTTGGATAAGACTGATGTAGTAATTATTACATCACGCTATTAAATGTGTCATATTATTGCCTAATAATAATAATTTCTATCTTGGTATGAATGCCCACTGCTTTACTCTTCTGAGGAGATAAGTCAGAGATTATTATAAAGATCAGGTCATTTCTATCTTGGTAGGAATGACCACTGCTTTCCTCTTCTGAGGAGATAAGTCAGAGATGATTATAAAGATCAGGTGATGTCATATATGTGAAAACATCTTATAAGCTCTTATAAGAGGCATGATTATGAGGATGGTGATGAAACTGTCATAGCCATTGTCTCACCATTGTCACTCCAAGCCGACTTCCCTGAGAAGCTGTGAAATTGAGGCCCCAGCAGGGGCCAGACAAGAGCCCCAGACAGCAGCTGTCTCAAAGAACAGAGCCTCAAATGGGACTTGCTGACTGCAATTCTAAACCTATTTCCCTTTGAAGTTAAGTGTATGTTCTTTTCAGGTAAACACTGTATGAACAATTTAGGATGGTTTCTAATGCATCTACCCTCGGTCAAAATCAGGTAATAATGAAAAATGTATTCCACTTGTGGCTTGGCCCCATTTCTGTTTTTCCTGTTTCCTCTCCCTTCCTCCCCCATACTTGCCTTCCACATGTTGGTCCATCTGTTCTAGGTAGGGTGAGCCTGCTAGTCAGAGAGCATGTTTTTTTCAGCTTTCTGGCACATATGCATGGAACCATCAGAGAATGGAGAAATAACCAGGCCCAGATCATGTTGCAAGAAACACAAGTGACACTGCAGTCCATGAACTCACCTATGGTGTGTGACGTTCTGCTTCTCACACTGAGCATGGATGGAGGGCTGGGTGCTGGGCGTGTGCACACCTGCTATGGGAGCATTCATAGCCCCTGAGGCCAGAGAGACCTGGGTTACAATCCTGACCCTCTGCAAATTAGCTTTGGGATATAGCTACGTAATTTCCTTGGCTTCTGTTTCCTTCTTTCTGTGTGATGAAACCTGGCTTTTCCAATTGTTCAGATAATTTAGTGAGATAACAAATGCAAAGTGCCTGGCAGTAATTGTTCTGAATGGGTACTTCCCTCCTCTAAACCCTCTACATGAAGCTGCCCTTGGTAGAAATGCGCACTGCTTTCCTCTTCTGAGGAGGTAAGTCATGTACGGTCTTCATTCAGGTCTTCGACATACCTGCCACTATAAGAACACAGCAGATTGGGTCATCATACAACGTAGATATGTATCAAAACATCAGTTTGTACCTCATTAATACGTACAATTACAATGTGTTCATTAGATATATATGTATAAAAAGACAGCTGAAAAATATTAGGTTACAAATTTCTTTTGGCTGTTTGCATCATTTGACTGTGAATAATATTGCTGGCATGTGGCACATTACAATTGCTGAATGAACAAAACATGGTTGTAGACTGTAGAGAAAAAGCATTTCCATAAAGGGAATAAATGTATACTTGACTCTCTGGATGGGGAAAGAGGTGCCTGGAAGGAGGCTAACCAAAGTGCCATCACTGGATATGAGATGCTGTTTAGTGTACTTGTTTGAATTTTTAATAATAAACTTATATAATTGTTAACAATAACAAAGGAATGAGTGGTAGAGATTGAATATGGGCATTTGCAGAGACCTGCACAGCAAGCGTTGGTTTTGACGTTGATCTGAAAGTGATTTTTCTACCTTCCCCATAAGTCTCCTCTATGACTAATGTGGAGGAACACACCTTATCATCAGGGCTTGGCAGACACAGAAGGACAACTCTCAGAAGGTGTGTGAGCCTGCTGGGGAGCAGGGTGGTTACAGGTCGACCGTTGCGTGGTTCATGGCAATGAAAAAATACTGTGCTGCCACCACATTAAACCAGATGAAAGGGTGGATTGCCATCCTTCCAGTTCTACAGCGTCGTCAAGGACTTTGCAGAAGGCGTGAATCAGATCATTATTACCCTCTTTTCCCCTTTAATTTATCCTTATTGATGTTATAAGACAAAGTTGTTGGCAGGGCAGTTTCTTAATTCATTTTTGATTTTATTTTTTATTTGAAGTTTAATATTTTAATATTTTTTATTTTAATCCCTCATAAGCATTCCAACCCTTTCTTGCTCCCTGGCTGCCCCATCCCTACAGGAATGAATTTAATTCCAAGCACTAGTACCTGCCAAATCCAGGTTGTAGGCAGCTTTCCCTCTTGGGACCTTTGATGGGGGGACTGCAGTAAGGTGACCTGGTGCAGTTTCACTTTTTTTTCCTCCTTGACGTTTTTCCAACACAAGGTTCTCTGTCCACCTTGGCTTTATTTTGCCATGTAGTGCCTCACGGGAGCTCAGGTCCTGCCCTCAGGCCCTTTCCTTGGGGAAGCATAGACCTAGGAAGCAGGTAGGAAAGGGAGGAGTTTTTCCTCTGATTGATCACCAGTCTTTTCTTTCTTCTCTTTTTCTTTTTAAGACTAAGCCACAGCCATGCTATGTGAAATGTGGGCAATTCTATAAGCCACAGCTATGCTACGTGAAATATGAGCAGTTCTATAAGCCACAGCCATGCTCTGTGAAATTTGGACAGTTTTATAAGCAGCTACGCTACTATGCTTGACTTCTTGAGATTTTGCAACCAGTTGCAAAGGAAGGACTATCCTCTCCCAGGTGGCAGAAGAAAAACATTCTCATGAAAGTACAGAGATCACTCAATCTTTTTCTCTAATATGATCATTTTTCCTCATTTCTGTGACAGCTAAATTATCCTTTTGACTAAAGGAAACATAGCATCAATATGTTTCATTGATTATAATTTAAATCTGTCTAAAGGACTAGCTGGAGGAAGAGGCAGTCTTTTGCAGTCCTTAAACTTCAGCAGAAGCCACAGAATTAAACTATTTAAAGCTTACTTGTTCAAGCATTTTTCAAATAATTATTTTAAAATTTCAGAAAGAAAAAGGTATGCCCTTTTATGGAATCTATTTTTTAGGGCACATATAACATGTGGGTCAAATACCCCCTGGAGGCCATACTGTTAGGTTGGGTGCTGTTCTCTGTTATTTCTTGGGCAAATTACTTGACCTCACTATGACTCAGTTTCTTAACCTGTAAAATGAGATAATAATATTACCTACCTCACAGGTTATTGTGAAAATCAAATGTAAAGCATGTTAAAACTCTGCCTGGCACACAGTAAATGGTAAGTGCTCTATAAGGGTTCGTGATTATTGTTATTATAATTATGGAAGATAACCAAGAGAGAAAATAGCTCTAATAAAAAAGTTCACTGAACTTTTTTGCATCAACTGGAAAGATCTTTATAACATACCACTAAAAAAAGTTAGTTATGAGAAACTTGGCTTTTAGTGCCCCAAAAGCTCCTGCTGAAGGACAAGAGAAGAAGAAAGAAGGGTAAGTGTAGCGATGTTGTTTAACATTTTTCCAGTTAGGAAGAAGACAAGGGGACCCAGGAGTCTAGGGCTGTAGAGGCCTAGAGTTTCATGGAAAATGACATTGGCCAGGTTATGATTTCAGGGAAGTGCACCCAGGACATTAACCAACACACACATCAAATATGAGCACTGTATCCTGGCAATAGAAACAAAGGCTCTTTACTTGAAAAAGCCAACAAGCAAGTGATTTGGGCCTAAGATCCGCAAGACTAAGTAGTAGTTCTCCAAACTTGCTACCTGGCTCTCCTGTTGTTCAAATTCTTCATATTGTTGCTGATTTTCTGTGTACTTATTAAATCAGTTATTGAAAGAGGGGCAATAAAGTTTCAACCATAATTCTGAATTTGTCTATTTCTCTTTGTAATTCTCCGAGAAGTTTTTGCTTTATGTGTCATATATTTGGGTATTTTGTAGTTATGTTATTAGGTGTGTATGTTTTTAGGACTGCTATGCAATGTTGGAGATTTTCCTCTTTATCTTATGAAATGACTTCTTTATCCTTGGTGTTATTCTTTACCATGAAATCTACTTTGATAATAATAATATAGACACTCCAGTTTTCTTTTGATTTGTGGGAACAAGGTATATATTTTTCCATTTATTTGCATTTAATGTATTTGTGTCTTTATATGTATTTGTGGAGTACTTGCTCCATCTAAAGCATTATTCTTGGGCTTGGGACAATAATTGTAAAGTGGGGAATGACATGGAAAAATTTTCACTTTAGAATGATTATTCCAGCAGCAGATCAGAGAGGGGAATGGGAAGGGACAATATTAGGAGGATTAGGACCCAGTGGAGACTGGTATAATAATTTAGGCTGGAGATCACTGCGGCCTGAACTAAACTACCCACAGTAGGAGAGAAAGAAATTGATGGGTTATATTTAGGTGGTAGAATCATCATAATTCTGTGACTGAACGGAAGTGGGAGGTAAAGGAACAAGGCATCAGAGTTGAAGATAGTGATGCCTTTACTGAGATAAGGGACATTAGAGAGAGAACTGTTCAGTTTGAGACAGCTAATGAGACATCTAAGCAGAAATTTCAAGTACATGGTTAATAGTTTTGAAATCAGCAGAGAAGACTGAGCTAGAGACTTGGGAAACTTTCCCTCAAATACAGTAATTGAAAAAGTGGCAATGACTAAAACCATCCAGGGAGAATGTGCTGTCTAATCAGTGAGGGGAAGAGGAGATGAAAAGAGATGGGATGAGGAAGGAAGAGGACTTAGGTCAGAAATAGAAATAATAAGTGACAAAATTATATTTATAGATATAATGCAAAACAGGATGGAAAGAAGTTCAGAGTTTATATTAGTAACAATTAATACCAAGTAAAACTCAGATAAGTTAACATAGGTTCTCTAAAACCAATTTTACTAGTACCTCTTATATCCACATACTGTCATTGATCATTAGAGTTTTGTTTGTTTTATGTGGATATTTAATAAGGTGAGAATTGAGACATTACCCATGGCAGGGTGCATCAATGTCATATACCTGAGATATGTGCCTTGATTGGCTCTATGACTCAGGCTCAATATTCACTGAATATTAATGCCCTAAAATATGGAAGAAGAATAATTTCCAATATTCTTACCTACTCTTAGAAAGGACTTTTCTCTACTGTATGAACTTGTTTGACTCCTACCTTCTATGGAAGTCACCATTGCCATAGGCATGTTCCGCAGCTGCAGCCCAGCCAAGGCTGCACAACTCGCTTTCCATCTCTCAAAACCCCCAACAATGGGTCCTAAAGTTTCCTGAATTTTAGAGGATTCAGGCATCCTTTACTGGACGCAATGAGGCCAATACAATGGGAAGCCAACAGACTGTTTTCCAGATTGTATAATTCTAAAAAAAAAAAAAAAAAGTTTGGTAAGTTCATGCTACTTGAACTCAACAGTGAGATGCTACTTGACTGGCAACCCTATCTATTTTCCTCTGGATGAGTCTGGTCTGAGTAACAAAAGCTTATTACAAATTTCGTGTTTCATTGCCTTTCCTTGTCTAGGGCAACAGTTGGATAGATATATCAAAATTGTCTCTGTCTTTCTCATCTCTATCAGTAGGAAGATGGACAAGCATGTTGCAGAATAAGTAGTTATCTCAGAGTTAGCTTTTCAGTTCACATACAATACGCAATCTCTCTCACCTCATTTCTCTTGTTCTATACACAATTATTTTCTTTGAACAACCTTAAAAGTTAGGAGGGGCAGGTTATTACTATTATCCCTATTTACAGATTGAAAACTGAGGCCCAGTGTGAAATAGGAAATAGGAATAGATTGGGGGTCAGAGCAGAAAAATGTGACGTTGGACATGTCAAATTTGAAGTGCCTTTCCTGATGAAGACACCAAATAGGCAACTAAACATACGGACGTGAAACTCAAGATATAGACTGGCATTGAAGATACAGATTTGGGAATCATCAGCTTTTCAGAGTAGTGAAGCAGAAAGATACGAACATGCAAGTGTGAAATGAAGCAATTTACTACACTTGTGTTTTCATCTAAAGCAGAGGTAGGAAACTTGTGGCCTGTAGACCAAATTCATCACACAGACATGATTTTAAAAGGAGTGATACTGGAATCGTGTTTTAAAAACCGAGAAACATCAGATAGAAACCCAATTTTCAGCACTTGTTTTGAAAGCAGAAGCTCTGGCATCATAGGCCATGTTCTCACGTCTCAATATTATGAAGGAGTTGAGTCACTTTTGCCACCTTTAGACAGAACATTCTCTTTTCTTTTGCCACAGTCCCAACCACTTCTTATTGTATTACTGGCCTGCATCACTACTTTGTCTTTCTGTCCTGCAAGTTTTTGCGTTTGTGACCATCATCCACAGCCCCATTTAGTCAGATTGGTCCAATTCTGGCAGTTTAAGTTCTTTCTTAAGGTACATCCCAAAACTTAGCAGCTCCGTAAACCTTCTCCAGCAATCTGAGCCCGGAGAAATGACTCCAATCATTTAGCCTCCTTATCTGGTACTTAGAAACACCGTCTTAGGATGTTGATGATCTTCTTTGGATAGCCTATTTCCCTACCTAGTCTCAAAGCCATTTGCGAATGGCATACAGTGACTGCATTTCAGCTTGTCCAGCATTAGCATAGAGCTCTGCATAGAACTGATATTCAAAAAGTGCTGTGTGGTAAATAATTGAACAAGTGCCTGCAATTCAGTTTATAAAGCTCCTTACATTCATTTTCTCCTCAAAGAGTCCAAGGTGACCCAGCTCCTAACAAGACAGCCAATACTCCAGCCAGGTTTTTAGAGTTCTTTGAGGTCCTGACAGCTCTCAGCCTCACTCTGTGGATCCCCTAGAAGTGTGATAGTCATTTGTGAGCCATGACAGAGTTGAAGGTAGGACAGTCTGACTATTGGGTGTCAGGGTAACATCAGGAATAAACTTACTGGAGGTGGCAGAGATCACTCCTGATTCTCCTGAAAAAGGCAACAATTCAATTCAATTCAATAACATATTACTTGGGGCTGAACATGTTCTGGAGACTATGCTAGACCCTAGAGTTATAGAAACGAAGAAAAGAGAGCAGAGGCAGCTCTGACTACAGGGAGCTTCAGGGTGGGAAAGAGGCCCTGGAGAACTAATCATAGCATCAGGAATATTAGAATTATCATATGCAAACTTTATTGACCATGTAGCAATCACATTTAACACAATAAAAGTCAAGCTCTAACATGTATGTTAGAAATGGAAAAACATATTTTAAGGCTGTTGAGGTCTAAAAAGTAGAACTTCTGGAAAGTTTTCAATAAATTTAAAATGTAATGGATATGTATAACAACATATTAAACCCAGATGAAGAGACAGTTGGTATACTGAAAGACAAAACAAATTAACCAGAATGAAGCACACAAACATAAGAGATTTATAAAATGAGAAGCTCAGAGATGTGGAGAATAGACCAAGAAGGTCTACCATATATAGAATCAAGGTTTCGGAAAAAGAGGAGACAGACAATGAGGCAAAGGCAATATTTATAAAAATAATGCCTGAGGATGTTCTAGAACTGATTAAAGATGCCAGTCCACAGATTGAAGTAGACTAATTCTATGTATGACAAATAATAATAAATCCAGTTTTAGACCCATTTTGTTGAAATTGCAGAAACTGAAAATATAGAAGATCTTAAAAGCAGCCAAAAAAATCCACACCCAAAATCATTATCTTCAAAGGAGTGAGAGACTAATACCTGATTTATCAATGACTTCTTAACAGTTGCAATGAGAGCCGGAAGGCAATAGAAATAATGTCTTCAATTAGCTGCAAGAAAACAACGCGCATCTTATAATTCTATACAGAAAATATACTGTTCAATGGGGAAAGAACTCCCTATTCAATAAATGGTGCCGGGATACCTGGCTAGCCATATGCAGAAGAAGGAAACTGGACCCATATCTTTCACCATATACAAACATTAACTCAAGATGGATTAAAGATTTAAATGTAAGACCTCAAACTATAAGGATGTTAAAAAAAAAAAAAAGCTAGAAAACACCATTCTGGACGTTGGCCTTGCTAAAGAATTTATGACTAAGTTCTCGAAAGTAATTGCAATGAAAACAAAAATTGAAAAGTGGAGCCTATTTAAACTAAAAAGTGTCTGCACAGCAAAAGAAACTATCAACAGAGTAAACAGCCTACAGAATAGGAGAAAATATTCACAAACTATACATCTGATAAAGGTCTAATACTCAGAATCTGTAAGAAACTTAAATAGATAAACAAGCCAAAAACAACCCCATTAAAAAGTGGGCAAAGGACATGAACAGGTATTCTTCAAAAGAAGACATGTAAGTGGCCAAAAAAACATGAAAAAATGCTCAATATCACTAATCATTTGAAAAGTGCAAATTAAAACCACAACGACATACAATCTTACACCAGTCAGAATGGCTACTGTTAAAGAGTAAAGGTTGGGCACAGTAGATCACATCTGTAATCCCAGCACTCTGGGAGGCTGAGTCAGGCAGATGACTTGAGGTCAGGAGTTCAAGACCAGCCTGGCCAACATGGTGAAACCCTGTCTCTACTAAAAATACCAAATTAGCCAGGCATTGTGGTGCATGCCTGTAATCCCAGCTACTCGGGAGGCTGAGGCAGGAGAATCAATCACTTGAACCAGGAGGTGGAGGTTGCAGTGAGCCGAGATTACGTCACTGCACTGCAGCCTGGAAAACAGAGTGAGACTCTATCTCCAAAAAAAAAATAAAAAGTCAAAAACAGTGAAAAACAACAGACGTTGGTGAGGCTGTGGAAAAAAAGGGAATGAGTATACACTCCTGGTGGGAATGAGATTCGTTCAGTCACTGTGGAAAGCAGTTTGGAGATTTCTCAAAGAACTTAAAACAGAACTACCATATGACCCTGCAATCCTACTACTGGGTATATACCCAAAGAAAAATAGCTCATTCTACCAAAAAGAACACATGCATTCATATGTTCATGGCAGCGTTATTCACAATAGCAAAGACATTGAATCAACCCACATGCTCATCTGCAGTGGATTCAATAAAAAAAAAATATGGAACATATACATCACAGAATACTATGCAGCCATAAAAAGAATGGCATCATGTTCTTTGGAGCAACATGGATGCAGCTAGATGCCATTATCCTAAGTGAATTAACTGAGAAACAGAAAACCAAATACTGCATGTTCTCACTTATAAGTGGGAGCTAAATATTGGGTCTCATGGACATGAAGATGGCAACCACAGATACTGGGGGCAACTATAGGGGAAAGGCAGGGAGGGGGGCAATGTTGAAAAACTAACTGTTGGGTACCATGCTCATTATCTGGGTGACAGAATAATTCGTATCCCAAACCTCAGCATGACACAGTATACCCATGTAACAAACCTGCATATGTACCCCTTGAATCTAAAATGAAAGTTGAAATTATTTTTAAAATATATCAAAAATGAGGGCAAGATAAAGACAGATAAACTAAAAGTTTTCCACCAATAGACATTTACTAAATAAAATTCTAAAAGATGTATACCAAACAGGAAATTCGAAATATAAGAAGGAATGACAGGCAAAGAAAATTGTAAATATAGGTGTAATCAAAAAGGAATGAGGCGGGGACAAGAGGGGCAGGAAAATATTCACTGAGGAACCAATGGTGGTTCTTAGAACAGGAAGATGGTAGAGTCTTCTCATTTGGTAACAAGTCAGGAGGGAAGTGGTTTATAGGTGGCAGTTGGTAAACTGGCCTAGGCATATCCCAAGGAAGATAACCAATCAACTGAGAAGAAAGTTACCTTTCAAGCCACGATGTGGTTTTTTTTGTTTGTTTGTTTTAGGTAGCTCTCTGCATTGTTTTTCAAGAATTATTCTGTCATACTTCATAGACTTTAGCCATTTTGCTTTAGGAGAGGTGGGCCAAAGCACCTGGGTGTGGGTTGTGAGAGGAGAAGTTGGCTGAATTATCTGCAGAATTGGCTTAGTACTCCTCTTCATTTTACAAGTAAAAAAAATCATGTCTTTTGTCAGACCCTGTTCTTTAGGATGCCACAGCCCATAGCCCGCAGCTGGCGGCCTCTGACAAAGAAATGAAGGAAGCTCATGACCAGTCTTGTATTGCCAGCAAGGAGGGCATGAAGAAAGTGTCACGGAGCATTTGCCTTTGTGTTGCAATGGTTGTTGTTGGCAACATCCCTGAGTTGTACCCACATTTCATCTGTTTGAGCTCGTATTGGGAGATCAGAGAAGAGCTACAAGGAAGGTAAAGGATTTGCATCTGTTAACAAACCTTGGGCTTGTCCTTGGATTGGTTTCTAGCTACTCTTCTCCAGCTGAGGTTGAGTCATCGGAAGACGCTCAGTTCTGACCCAGTGGCTCCTCAAGGAATGGCACCAGCGCTGAGAGAGGATAGGTTTTTCTCTTGCCAGACTTTTGTGATGGTTTTGTTTTGAATAACACGGTCTCCAACTGATGGATCTCTTAAGTCTATTGATACAAAAAGTACCTCCTTGTAAATGTTTTTCAGTGACAGGAAAGATAATAATGAACCCAAGAAGCATAGAAGGAGAGTGTTGGCAAGAGGAAAGGGAATGGCTGCAGGAGAACAGAGGTGAGTAGCCTTTAAGAGAAGCTTAGATTAAATTAATTAGGAGTGCCAGAGGGGAACAGTTTAAGAGTGAAGGAAGTCATTCTGTTTGGGAGAATAGAAGAAGAAAGAAAAACAAGCTTGGTGAGAGGCTGTTTGAAGTTAAAGAAGTTAGTTCGTTTCAAACTGGATATTTGCCAAGAGCCCTACAGAAGATTTTCTCAAGTCTGAAGGAGGCAATTTCCCACTTTCTGTTTAGAAGAGTTCTTTGCTTAGTAGCTGTTGTACTTGTAAATTCATTTAATCTCTGCCTCTTCTTACCAACTGCCTGATCTCACATACTGGGGCTGCCATAGTCTCCCAAAAGTTCTTTCACATTTATGCTCTAACCATGATATTTACTCAGAGAATCAAATTTGTTCCAAGGCGTTTTCTTAAAACACCCCAGAGGAAAATGTTTTATGTAAGAGAAAGCAATGAGATGGATTGATGTTTGTATTTTAATTTTTTTGTATAGTTTATTTATTTTAGAAGCAAATGCATTTTTTGGGACATCGAAGAAAAATGGTGGATGGGATAAAATTGGCCTTTTTCTGAATGCCTGGTCTATGGTATTTGAGCTAACAAATTTACCCTGAAGCCAAACTTCTCTGAATTTCTAAGGCTCCATATGAGCTCATCTATTAGGAAAATAACATAAGAAATAATGTGAAGACAATGAGCCCATATTTATTTGGCTTTCCTCCAATAAAACTACAATCAATTTGAAGGAAAATATTGTAAAAGAAAAGGGAGGTGGCTGAGTTGGCAGCACACCAAGATGCATAGCCAAGATGTGTTGAAACCGAGGTTGTCACAAAGAACAGTAAAAAGAACCATGAACTGAATTTTAAACCAAGAGCAAATCATTCTCTAATTTGGTTCTTTTAGGTCAAAGTTAGATATTATTCTGCCTGCTTACCTTGTGATTAGGTCAAATGGCCTAATGAGTTCTAAACTGCATGAAAAGGATGAGGCTCTAAGTTTGAGTTTCCGGGAGATATTTCTTAAGTCATTTTGAAGTCCATGAATGAGTTAGGAGTGAGCTTTGCATCCTCAGATCTCAGACACTCCAGCTTAGAGGCTGTGGGGGTGCATCAATCCTGCAGAGTTGCCTAAACCACTGTGAGCTCCCAGCCTTCTTCCATCTTCCTTCTCAGCTGGACAGGGCTCTCCCACAAAACCTACAGCCCACAGCTGCTATTGGCAATGCAAGGTTGATGATTGCTGTACACCAGTGACGTCTTTGCTGTCTTCACCGGCATGTGATGTGTTCCCAGACTTCTGGCTTGGCTTTGGCTATTATCATTGGCTTCCCTCTTTGCTGCTGAATTGCTAATTTAAAACCAAACCAAATCGGACAAGCTCTTATAACATTCTTTTCTGCTGATTACACAAAATAGGAAATAGAATTAATATTTCAAGTCCCATCTATTTTTACATATATAAATATTTGCTTTTAGTTCTTATCAAGTGCTAGGCACTATACTGAGTAGACTGTGCTATGCCCTATATGCTTCTATCTAGACTATTGCTTATGTATTAATTCAGCCAATATTTATTGAACACCTTCTGTGTGCCACATACTATTTTAGGCATTAGGGATATATCAATGAACAACAAAAGAAGCCAACAGACTAAGTTTTTGCACTCAAAAAGCTTATGTTTGACAAAAATAAGAGAGCAATAAGTGAATATATGTCAGGTGGCCAAATGTTCATGAACAGATGAATAGGTAAAGTAAATGTGATATACATACATATCACATTTGAGTGTGATATATATATACACACACACACACACACACACACACACAAAAGGAGTACTATTCAGCCATAAAAAAGTAAGAAATCCTGTCATTTGCAGCAACATGGATGAGCCTAGAGGACATTATATTAAGCAAAATAAGTCAGGCATGGAAAAATAAATGCATGTTCTCATGCATATGTGGGAGAAAAAAATAAGCTCATAGAAGTAGAGAGTAGAATTGAGGTCATTTGAGGTTGGAAAGGGTAGGAGGGAGGGAGGATAGGAGAGGTTGGTTAATGGCTGCAAAATTATGCCTAGATGGAGGAATGCTTCTAGTGTACTGTAGCACTGTAAGGCTAATATGGTTAACAATAATTTAGTGTACATTTTCAAAAAAAGCTAGAGGAGAGGATTTTGAATGTTCACAACACAGAGAAATGATCAATGTTCAAGGTGATGAATATGCTAATTACTAATTACTTGGATCTAAACATTGCACATTGCATGCATGTATCAAAATATCTCTTTGCGTCCCATAAATATGTACAATTATTACATGCCAAGTAAAAATAAAAGGAAAAAACATGTCCGGTGGCAATAAATGATAAGGAAAATAGTGGGTAAAGAGAGTGGAGAGTAATGGGACTTTAGGGGAAGCCTCTCTGGGAGAGCACAGTTGAGAAAAGATAGCTGAGCAGAAACTTGAAAGAGGTGAAGGAACAAGTGTCACAGGTATCTGTGGGAAGAGCCTTCCTGGCAGAGCAACAGGAAGCAAAGAGGCTATGGAGGTGGATTTCTGCTTGCCATGTTTAATGATGCCCAGAGTGGTCAGTGTGGCCGGGAGCAGTGGGAGCAGGGAGAGGAGAGGGGAAGATGTAACCAAAGAGACCTCTCTTTAGGGCCCTGCAAGGATGTTGGCTTGAGCTTACTGGGTCAGAGGGGAGCTGTGATGTGGGTCAGTGTTAGGAGGGTCACTGTGGCTGCCGTGTGGGGAACAGAGCCCAGAGGGGCATTATGGGGAGCAGAGAGCCTGCTAGAAGGCATTTGCAATGTCTATTTGTTCCATACGAATACTCCACAGCATTGTGCTAAGAATTGCAGGGTTGGAATAAGAAGCATGAGGCAGGATGACTGGTGCTATCTCCTGCTTTCTTCCACTTGCCTATGGTTATGCTGATACTTCTCTCTGAACCTGTTTTCTCACAAGGAGGCAGAATAACCTAGTGATTAAGAATACAGGTGTTTTAGTTTAACTGAGGCCCATTCGTCTATTTTTGGTTGTGTTGCCCGTGCTTTTGAGGTCTCAGTTATAAACTCTTTGCCTAAACCAAAGCCTAGAAGCATTTTACTTGCGTTTTCTTCCAGGATTGTTATAGTTTCAGGTCTTATACTTAAGTCTTTAATCCATTTTAAGGTGATTTTTGTATATGCTGAGGGATAGGGGTCCAGTTGCATTATTCTATATGAACCATCTAATTTTCCCAATACCATTTATTTAAAAGAGTGTCCTTTCCCCAGTGTTGGCTTTGTCAAACATCAGTTGGCTGAAAACATGTGGCTTTATTTCTGGGTTTTCTATTCTATTCTATTGATCTATATGTCTACTTTTATACCAGTACCATAACGTTTTGATAATATAATTTGAAGTCAGATAAGTGATGCTTCCAGCTTTGTGTGTTACTCGGGTGATGGGTTAAAATAGTACATATGTCAGGCCGGGCGCGGTAGCTCACGCCTGTAATCCCAGCACTTTGGGAGGTTGTGGCAGGTGGATCACAAGGTCAGGAGTTCAAGACCAGCCTGGACAAGATGGTGAAACCCCGTCTCTACTAAAAATACAAAAATTAGCCAGGCGTGGTGGTGGACACCTGTAATCCCAGCTACTCAGGACGCTGAGGCAGGAGAATGGCTTGAACCCAGGAGGCAGAGGTTGCAGTGAGCCAAGATCATGCCATTGCACTCCAGCCTGGGTGACAGAGCAAGACTCCAGCTCAAAAATAATAATATTAATTAATTAAATTTAAAAATTTAAAAAATAGTACATATGTCATAGAGTTGTAAGGGATTAAGTGTAGTCATTCATGTGCAGTGCTTATCAGAATGCCAGGCACACAGAGTTGATTGGAGAATTACAGAAGGTAGAACATGGGAATGTTCTCCGTAAATAGTAGATGTCATGAAAATGTTAGTTGTTAGGATATGCATCAATGTGTGCGAAGTTTGAGAGTATGTGCTGTGAGGGGTTCCAGCACAGGTTCATTCTGCAGAGGAAGTTTAGGGGCACATTTTGCACATATCATGACATTAGGCCCAACATTGCACAGTCATTTCCCATTAGACAATGGGATGGGGGCCAATCACATGGGTGTGAAGGCTGGCCTTGACCTTTCACAGATGGACCTTGCCAGACAGAGCTTGGGTGGGGTGAGTGTGAGTGTCTGTGCATAGCCTGCTCCTCCTTTAGAAAGAGAGGGCTTGTTTCCCAGCAGGAGGTGCATCCTCCATGCACCCCCTTGCATTTTCCTTGTGTGCTTTTCCCACCCTCGTTGGAGCTGGCATTATGCCAGTGGAATGCCAAAGACCAAGGTCCTGAAAGATTGCATATTATGACTTAAGAGGCTATGACACTGAGGACATTCTCTTGCTCAATCTTTCTCACACCATGGAGATGCTGAATAAGATGATTACACAAATATTTTCCAAGTTAAAATTGGATTTGAGGCTTCATGGGACTCATGCGCCAAGTGCAGCCTGTCCTCTTTCTCATCACTTCACAGTCCCAAGTCATTCTCAGCAATTTAAGTAAACACCTAAATGTCATCCCAAGGAGAATTGCTCAAGAATTTTTATTAGTTTGGATGAATTCTTCCTTCCTTCCTTTCTCTCTCTTGTTTTAACTTCTTCAAAATTTAATACACATTCTCTGTCCTGGTTTAGTCTTTCCACTTTCCACTGGGCAATAACAGAAAACAGCTTGCATTGTACACTTTGTTTAAAAAATTGTTTCCAATGAAGCACCAGGAGGGAACATTAGGAGTCTGAGGTCCAATGACTGCAGTTGGCTTATCAGGCCAGTTGCACAAGTCAGCTCCAGTCTCTGGACCTCGGTTTCCTGATCTGCAAATGGAATCAGAGTTATAGTCTCCCAGCTTCACCCTCAGAGAAAGCATAAAACATGGGTTTAAAAAATTACCCTTCGGCCGGGCGCGGTGGCTCACGCCTGTAATCCCAGCACTTTGGGAGGCCGAGGCGGGTGGATCATGAGGTCAGGAGATCGAGACCATCCTGGCTAACAAGGTGAAACCCCGTCTCTACTAAAAATACAAAAAAAATTAGCCGGGCGCGGTGGCGGGCGCCTGTAGTCCCAGCTACTCGGGAGGCTGAGGCAGGAGAATGGCGTGAACCCGGGAAGCGGAGCTTGCAGTGAGCCGAGATTGCGCCACTGCAGTCCGCAGTCCCACCTGGGCGACAGAGCGAGACTCCGTCTCAAAAAAAAAAAAAAAAAAAAAAAAAAAAATTACCCTTCATCGAGTGTTTGGAGGTTAGGACTGCAGAAATGCATCAACTGACATCATCTTCTTTGAGAACTTTAGGAGATTTAATGATATCTAATTCAACCTTACTAAATGCTTGCAAGGTACATGAACAATAGTGTTACACAGTGAGAGATCACCAGCTTGATTTATTTATATATAAAATATATTATTGTAATTATAATACATTAATATTAACATATTATGAATATATTATATACTAATGTATTACTAATTATATACTAATGTATGATGTAATATATAACAATATATTAATATAACAGACATTAATCTACATAGCATTATATACTATATATTAAAATTATATATAAAAATATAAATATATAATACATAATATATATACATTAATATAGTGTAATATATTGTTAATGATATAATTAACATATATTTCTTATGTTAATATAATTAGCATACATTATATTTTATATGTTAATAATATATAATTATAATATATATAATATTTTAGAGATAGGTCTTGCTCCATCACCCAGGTTGGAGTGCAGTGGTGCAAGCATAGCTTACTGTAGCCTCAACCTCCTTGGCTCAAGCAGTCCTGCTTCAGCCTCCCAAGTAGCTAGGACTCAAGGCACATGCCACCACGGCCAGATCATTGATTTACATTTTGAAATACAGAAACATGCTCTTGCAGCACAGAGCAGTAGTGGGCTCCTCCTACAGTGACCCATATTTCTTCCTGAAACTTGAGCAAAGCTGGGTGGAAATGGTGCAGAATGAATGCTAGAATGTTTCCATTCTTGTTTTCCCTATGATGTTATATATTTTAGGGTCCTGTTTTTCTATCAATTTACTGTTGGTTCTCTTCTTCCCTCATGAACCAGCTTTCTTAAGGTTCCCCCATGCTCACAGTTCTAACTCTTCAGACATTCATTTAACCAGTTTATTGAGGACTAAATAAAACTTTGTCCTGCGCAAAGATAAAGAGAAGTTAAATATGGTGTTAAAACATTCATTTGGGATAGATTCATAGACTGCTAGAGCTGGAGGAAGCAGCAGATTAGCAATTTAAACTCAAAGTCACATAAATGGTTAGTGACAGATCTCGGGCCAGATCATGGCCTTTGATGTCCAGCCTCCTCCTCTTGCTGTTACCCAGGATGTCATTTGCACGCATCCATTGAAAGTGACATACAGGTTTTTGGCTATGCTGTGCCCAATCTGACATCCCGAGCAGGCAGCCAGGGTGGAATTGGTCATTTGGTGTTAAGAATTGAGCAGGTGGCGAGAGAAGAGCAGGGCACATTTCAGCATGAGGAGATGGGTAATGGAGGTAGAACCTGAGCCAAACCAAGCTGGGACTCTGTCAATCAGGAGGCCAAGCTATACAGCTCACATCTGGGGTAAGGGAACATTGACATGGGCACACAAAGTGCCCACAAGCAAAGTGCAAACATTTCCCAAAGTACTGCTGGTACAATATTCACTGATCAGAGAACATGCTCTTCAACTGTGTTAGCAGGAGGAAACTATGGGAAAATTGAAGATGAATGGCACACAGTCTCATCTGCACTCTCCACACACACTAGGAGATCCTCTTCCTCTTAGTTTCCACCTCCATTTACTAAGCCACATGCGTACACAAGACTCACCCAATCCCATTCCCTTTGGGTAGCTCTGACCAACTTACCTGGTCCAATAAATTGCCCTCCTCCTCTGCACTTGGATTTGTAGTTTCTATGTCCTTTTCACATTTTGAACACCTCCACTATACATACTTCTGTTATAGAGTTTATCCCTTTAAACTTGCATAATAGTTTTATTTTTTAATTTCATGTACGTGTCTTCCCTCTGTCCTAGACTGTAGACTTACCGGAAGCAGACATACTAAGATAGAAAAATACAGGTTTGGGGTTAGGTTTGAGCTGTGCCACTTTCTCCCTGAGTGAGCTTAGACAAGTCGCTTCCTCCCTCTGGTCCAGTGTCCTTATGTTGAAAGTGCAGACGATGATTCCCATGGTGAAGGATGTAGAGAGGATTAAGTGACATGGAACGTGTAAAGCATTTAGCAAGTGCTTGGCACACATCAGGCAACTTCTAGGCAGAAGCTCTTGTCATTCACCTTGGTTTTCCCTGCAGCACCATGTGAGTGTCCCTCACACAGTAACTACTCAGGAAGTGCTGGCTAATTGAGAGGGGTGCTCCATCAGTAATAGCGATATGGTGCCGCAGTGGCTGAAGGGTGTGGGACAACTGAGTACCAGGAGGGCGAAGCAGAGCTTTCTCCTGACCGTGAGTTCCAGGAGCTGCCTATGTGACACTGAAGCAGTCTGGGGATGAGTCCCCACTCACCTGCTAAGGAAGTCGAACTTCTTTCCTAACAATTGCCTGATAGCAGGTGGGTGGCTGAGCTGTGACAAAGTAATTAATGAGACCCACCAACAACAAGACCTTTCTCTGGGACCTCCTGACAGACCTGGTGACTCCTTTGGCCCAAGACAAAGGGTGTTAGTTTTTTTGGCTACTGCGTGTGCCTGGATGAAGCCTGTGACCAGACGCCATGTCAGCTTCAAGAGCTAGCAGCTGACTAGCCAAGTCAGACCCAGGTGCACCAGGCAGTGTAACAGTCTGGATCCTTTCCGAGCAGTAGCCTCAAATCTAAATGTAGAGTCAGGTATAAATCCACCGTTCTCATCATGCTTGGCTTTGTCTAAGGAGAACACTTCACGTCCCTGCCTTGGCCAGGCAGTGGTAGGGCCAACAGACCATGTGTTTAGGATGAAGGTATAGGATTAAAAAATCCAAAGCAGAAAACTTGAAAAGAAGGGAATTTACATAAAAATAATTGGAGAGTTACTAGCTTATGCTTGCATGTAGGTTCTGTACAATTCCTGGGGGAAAGGGAAAGTAGTTTAAGCCACATTCAAGCAGATCTATATCTTGTTGTGAACCTAAACTTTCTAGAGGTTTTCAAGTGATCCCCTGCCATTAGGGCCAGTGTGTGGCTCTGAGTGTTTAGAAGAGCATAAATATGTCGAAGGCAAGACATTCATTCCCCTGGTGTCCCCATGAAGCTGAGTGCATGGCCAGGGAGCATACTAGCAGCCACTAGACTGTGCAGAACTGATGGCTTGCCTGGCAGTGGGAGCTGTGTCAGGGTCCTTCCTTTGTCTCAGGACAGCTGAACTTTTCGTGCCCTGAGATGAGGCTGGCCTGCAAAGGCCTGTGGCAAAGACATGTAGCCGGATGGGATACCATATGCAAACAGGAAGACGGTTTATAAGCCCCAAGGGACACTGAGGCTTCTGGGTCTGGTTCTAGGCATAGGGCCAGCATGTATAATGACCAACTCTAAGACTGTCTTAGATGGTCATAAAATGCCTTGCACAGACCTCAGACTAAATTAAGACAAATCTGATAGAGAAGGAAAACAGGTTGAAACTCGAGAGGCAAATAAAATGCCTCTGCCTGGAAATTTTCCTTGAATCCTGCTCCAAATGTATTTGAGAGTATTTTTCAGACACAAGCCTTGCCCAGTAGCCTCCACAATGCCTGTGGGCCCTCCACAGTGCAGTAGGGGCACATCTGGGGCTGCAGGGGAAGCCTTTGGCAACATCCATTAGGGACCTAGAAGTGAAATGCACCTGTTTCTAGTCATTCAAGTCAAATGGCAAGATGATCTTTTTGTTGATCCTAGAAGTCACATCCCTGGGTCCAATTTGGGTTTCCACTCTGTCTCCACAATTTCTGCTCATGCTGGAACACACACTGCCATCCCAGGCAGACCAGTTCATGGGAGTGTCTGTGTGCTCCTAGCACTAACACCAACCCATCTCCTCCCACCCCAAAAACGCAAGAAGTGTGATGACACAGGTTTATTTTTGGTGTAACGTTGACTATGCTTTTCAGTATAACACAATGATTATTGACAAAGAGAATCACCAAATTCTAGTTTTTGATCTGGAAACTGATATATTCATCTCATTTCTCCAAAAATGATCTGCTCCTTCCAGCGAACGCCTTGAGCTCTCTCTGCTACCCAAAGCATTATGTCAACATATTTACAGAAATCATTGTTGATTTTTTTCCTGATAAATAGTTTTATGTTAACAAAATGTTCTTTCTCTTTTATTTAACAAACATGGTCTGGAGGTGGGAAGAGAGGTAGGGGACGGAAGACATAATAGAAAAGTCTTGCAGGGGAAAGACATTCTCAGCATGAGCAATATAGAACATTAGAACCCCAGGAATTGCATCCGTTTCCATCACCGTTTCATCTCCAGCATCTACAATAGTGCCCAGCACATAGAAAGTCCTCAGTAAGCATTGTTGAATGAAGGATAGATCACTCAGTTAAGACAGATTCAGACAAACCAACCCAGCATGGAGCAAAGCATGTTGCCGGAAATGGTTCATCCACTGGTTATTAAGCCTGGCAAATCATCAGCATTCCCCAGGAGCATTAGAAAAATACAGATTTGCCATTATACCCTGGACCAACTATAAAATAATCCAGGGTGGTGCCCAGGATTCTGAATTTTTCTGAAGCCTCACACAGGATTCTTAGGTCAACAGTGCCTGGACTGGCTTTTGAGAACCACCAATATACCTTCTAACAACATTTGCCAAGAGCATTTGTGGTTTTTCTTCTCCCCACTAAAAAAAACTCATGTATACACATGCCACACAAAGAATTCAAAACCAAAAGATCCACAAGTGATGATATAGACATAGTTCTGCAATGTCATAAGTATTTTACTGGGTGGGGTTGGCCTGTCCCCTGGCAAGTCCAGGGAACAGGCTCACAGAGGCACATTCCGATTTTCTGGTTTGAGAAGAAGAAAGGGTTAGTTCAAGCTAATCATTGTTTTAAAATATATCAAGTTAAACTAAAGGGTTGAGAGGAAGACAATCTATGTTAAAGGGACTAGAGAATTCCATCAGCTAATACCATCATGTAGAGCCAAAGTGCAAGACTCAGGGTCTGGTGGCTGGGCAGTTACCCACATAAAGAAGGCTATGTGCAAATATGCAGACATTTTATAATATCTCCTGCATGGGAGGCCAAGCCACTGAAGTAGCACCAGGGGCTGGCATACCCTCCAAAGGAGGTGATAACTGCTGGCTGGGAAGAGGCAGTACCTGCCTTTTCCAAAGCCAGCGTGGAGTGAAGCTGTGAACTAATGCTAGAGATAACCTGGGGAGACTTGAATGAAAATCATGGGAGGCCCATTAACAAGGAAAGACTCTAAAGACATGGAAGGTTTGGTCTAGAGAAGGCAAAGGTGTATGTGGCTGTTCATGGACAGTTCTGGTTATAATCCCTACAGGAGAATCCAGTAAAAGTTAGTCTTAGAAAGTGTCCTTTGGATTTTGAATTTTTTTTTTTTTTTTTTTTTTTTTGAGACAGAATCTCACTCTGTCGTCTAGGCTGGAGTGCAGTGGCATGATCTCAGCTCACTGCAACCTCTACCTCTGCCTCCTGGGTTCAAATGAATCTCCTGCCTCAACCTACCTAGTAGCTGGGATTACAGGCGTGTGCTACCAAGCCCGGCTAATTTTTTGTATTTTTAGAGGAGACGGGGTTTCACCATGTTGGCCAGACTGGTGGATCTTGAATTCTTGATGTGTCTCTGAGTCTTATTGCCGAGCATTTCCAAGACTTACTAGATCACCCTGGAAATTATCAGTACCCAGACACTTGGTACTGTTTTTGCCCCCAAACAAAAATTAGCCCAGTACTAAATCATTATTCCCTTTCAGCAAAATGTTTATTTGCAAGAAGATTTTGTTTTATTTATTATTTCTCATCATCATGCAGAAGAAAAGAGTGACCTGCAAGCCAACAGAGAAACAAATTAATTTTGCTTTCCCCCTTCTCCCCGTCCTTTGCTCACTGCAATGCCATTGGACCCACTGTCTTTCCTCACCTTTCAGGTTTCCAATTTTAAAATGACCTCTCTCAAGGAGGCTCCTTTCATTTCATCCCTCAGATGGGAATCAAAGAAATCCTTCGAGGGTCGCTGGGGTGTAGACGACGGGAAATGGCCCACCGTGGAGGCATTTATCATCTCTCTTTCTGTCCTCTTTTCTGCAGGAGGGCACTTCTTGTAAAACCAAGTTATGAATAATGGATGCAAAGTGAAGCCTGCATTTTGGTCTTATTAGCATGCACCTTGTCAGAAACTGCCTTCCCAGAGCTGTGAATCCACTCTCCCTCGCTCTGCGGTCCCAGGTACTGCTATCCTGCAGCCGCTTTGTGTTCATTTTGCATTCTTTCTCCCTGTCTCTCGCTGCCCCCAGCCAGCTTCCATTGTTGCTGCTTTCCAGGTTCCTGCATTCTGGTGTCATTACCTGTGGGAAGTCTTTCCTTTTGTCTAGAGGTTTTTTTTCCTTTCATTTTTCTTTTCTCATTATTATCCTTGAAAGGATTTTAATCTGCCCTGGTGATACAAAATTTCTCTCTTTTTTTTTGGTTCAGAAAGTGTTTAATAGTGCAAATTCCCAAGACTTTTCTCTATCATGTTTTTTTTTTTGTTTAGTTGTTTCATTTGTTTCTAATTCCTTTCTCTTTCTTTTCAAACTCTCCCTACTGGGGTTTAGACATTTGAGTCATCTTCCTATTCACATTGGTTTTCTTTAGTCAGTCACATGGCTTCTAATCAATAGACCTTTTTCTGTAATAAAACATAAGCCTTATTCAGTTCTTGAAAGAAATGCCCTAACCTGAACATTCAGTCAAACTCGCAATTAAATTTAACTAAGACATTTCACAGGCTGACATCTTTTACCTCTAGGATTTAGAAGAACCAGATTCCAATGCCAGCTACACTTCTAATTAGCTATGTCACCAGGTGCAAATAAATCAGACTTTGCAGACCTCGGTCTTTTTATCTGAGAAATGACAAGGCCGCATACAATAATTGCTATGCTCCCTTACTATTTAAAACTGATTCACTTCTAAGTTTCATTCTTGTTGGAAATATATCATCATCTTTCCCAGCTATTTCTCTTTCTCTGGTGTTAGATACATTATTTCATTTCCATCTTCATACAGTTCAATAACTCAGCCCGTGGTTATACTCTTCATGAGATTCCAATTCTGCCCTTACCTTTGTCATATTACTGACTCTTTCTTCTAGTACACACATAACACACTGTGTTTGTGTCGACTCTGACTTCAGCTAGGCAGAACAAACGAACACAGAACCCACTGAAAGATGCTTTAAGAGATGTGCAGGCTTTGAGGAACTGCAGGCTTTAAAGAAATGCTTATGTAAGGCATTTGTTCATTCAACTTTGCTCAAACCAAAACAGCCCATATTTACAGTGCTCTCAGCTCTCTTTCAAATTGTGTTGGTTATTAGTCCTAAATAGTATCTAAAGCCAGATTAACCACTCAAGCAATCAGTCTGATGGATGTTTCCCTACATTAATTCACATACATAGACATTTAATGTTCTCCCCACAATTTCCCATGTTTCCTCCTGTTTAGTCACCATGACAATCATGTCGGAGAGCTTCGCAGCAGGTTAGACCATCCTCATTTTACAGAGGAAGAAAACTGGAGCTCAGAGAGGGCAGGGGACCTGCCTGAGTCCCTCAGAGAATTGTAAGGAAGATCTAGCTCTCCTAACACCAAGCTGCCACTGAAGAAATCAGTCTGGTTCTTGTTTGTTTTTGTCGTTTTTTGAACTTGCATAGAAGTAGAGCCAGGCCCACTCTTGTTATCCCACAAATGGGCTTGCTGCCTGACATGTAAAGAAGCCAATACTATGGCACTGGATTTTGAGAAAAGAAAGGCTTTATTGTGAGGTCAGCAAGGACACAGGAGGTGCAATGAGAGTGTCTCCCCGATTCGGGGACTAGAGCAAGTTTTAAGGAGTTGGAAGGCAAGGGAAAGGATTTAGGAATGTTGGCTTGGTAGGGTCTGATGGGAGGGCTTCAAATTTGACTATTTATGGTAAGGTATGTTGAAACAGAATATAGCCCCAGATTTTCCCGGTTAATGGACCCTTCACTTCTGAAAAAGTTTTGACATTCAGGTTCTCCTTATGTCCCAGTCTTCTTGGTTCTGTGGGGAAGGAATCATTGGTTCCAGGTGTTGTTGGAGGTCAAGTCTTTTTCTATTACACATGCCTAGGCTACATGACTTGTGGTAACTTGACATTCTGTTATCAACACAGTAGGCCCAGTGTGGGCTGGTCCTGCAATTACAGTCCCTTCTAGCAAAATCTCAGCACAAAGGCTCACTACCAGGATGATGCAGCAGGAAAACACCCCCTCCTTCCCCTCCTTTCTCTCCAAAGCCTGCAGAGAGCGTTGTCACAGCTTGCCTCCAGCCATCAGGCTCTGAGGAGAGGACAATATGCTAGAAATAGCAGATCCCACCAATTTCCAATCTCTGCTACTACAAGACATGAAGAACTAACTATCCCAGCAGGGGCCAGGCCTCAGGGCCATGCAGCGTACACTGGGCCCCAAGCATGAGTGCCTCCTTCCATTTGCTGCCTAGGCACCTTGCTCTCCTGTCTTCGCTGTCCCCTGTCTCGACCCTGCTCTCTTCCCTCCCTGCTCAGGACTTTTTCCACTGCAAAGAGAATACAGTTCACACAAGAGAGCACAGCTTCCCTGTAATCCTAAAATTCCTTTCTTGAGCATGAACAGGCCCCCTACTTAGTTTTTACCCAAAGAATTTTACCCAGTGGACCTCTGATCGATGGCTTACCTTAATCTCCTTTCCCATGGGTAGATGTCTGGGACCCTTGCTGTAGACACTGACCTACTCAATCTTTGTTTGATGAAAAAATACATGGGCATATACACAATGTTTAGAGCCACTTCATTCATGATAATCCCAAACTGAAAATAACCCAAATGTCCATCCAAAAGAGAATGGATAGATGAATTGTAGTACATTCATGTGACAGAATTTGAAAAGAAGAAACCATTGCTATGGCTTAAATATTTGCTCCCTCAAAAACTCATGTTGAAATTTAATCCCCAATGTGACAATATTAAGAGGGAGCGCCTTTAGGAGGTGACTGGATCATGAAGGCCCTGCTCTCATAAATGAATTAATCCACTCATGAATTAATGCATTAATGGGCTAGGCTAATGGGTTATCATGGGAGGGAAAGCGGTGGCCTTATAAGAAGAAGAATAGAGACCTGAGTTAGCACATTAGCACACTTGACCCCTACACCCTGCCCAGCCTTGGAACTCTTCAGACAGTCCCCACCAGCAAGAAGGCTGTCACTAGATACAACCCCTCAACATTGGACTTTTCAGCATCCATAACTGTAAGAAATAAATTCTTTTTCTTTATAAATTACTCAGTTTCAGTTATTCTGTTATAAGCAACAGGAAGCAGACTAAGACATCATTGAAACAGACAATTTTTGAGATCTACTCATGTTGATATCACAAATAGATCTCAAAAAATATCGTATTGAGCCAAAGAAGCCAGATCCATGAGCACATACTGAATGAATGCTTTTGTATGCACTACATTTATAGGAAGTTCAATGACAGGGCAAAAAAATCTGTGGTAGTAAAAATCAGCACTGTAGGGGGGGTGCGTTTTGACTAGAAGATGGGCCTTCCAGTGAGGATGGAAATTTTTTTGGGATGGTGGTCTCATGGGTATAAGCAACTGTCAAAACTTACCAATCTATACATTTAAAATCTGTGTGTAAATTTCATTTATGGCACATAAATTATGCTTAACTTTGGAATATTTTTTAAAATGATATCTGGTCAAACTATTGCACAAATGTCATAAATGTCTCTTCCACCAGGCCTTTTGTCACCTTGAGTTGAGCTTAGCTAACCCAGAGCTGAGCTAAGTGTCCCCTTTCTCTGGGCTCTCATTTGCACCATAGCTACAATTTGCATTTACATGTGACATTGACATTTGCCATAAATCAAACTCTTTGTGAGGGCTGGGTCTGGGCCTGGCATCTTCCAGATCCAAAGGGCCCCCAAAATTCTCATCTTGCTCTTTGAGCACAAGGAGGAATTCTGTGAGGAAACCAAGTTCTGTGTAGCTGAAGGTAAGGTAAGGCCCTCATTGTGAGTTAAGACTTCCCCAGTGGGACCTGTTGGGATTTTCTACACTGGGTAACTTGGAAAGGGATCAGGACAATGTTCAGGATTAGGTCCAAGGAAGGATGGTGAAGTGATGGTGAGGAGAACCTCACCACTTAGCTACAAATATGAGGAGGTGTAACTGATGACTTCTCCCCTTCCCCATTGCTGCAAAAAAGAAAAAGACAAAGAGCAAGAAAAATTTGAAAGAATTTTGGGGGTCAAAGGCACATGTTTCTCCGTACATACTGGTCTAAATGAATTACATTGCATTGCTTGAGTATACCAAGGCATGAGTCTATTAACCACTCAAGGGAAAGACAGTAGGCTAGACTCTGCTGGGAGCAAAGTATCAGGTGGATCTCTCAGCACAGCAAGATGTGGTCCAAAAGTCCAAGGTTGATGCAGTCACCAGGGGAGAATGCTGACTTTGCAGAGACAAAGGAAGCACAAAGGGCAGGCAGCCGACTCAGGAGATCCATAGTTTCTAAGCTGCAGGGGAAAGCAAGTCAGGAGAAAAAGTAGAGAGGATACAAAGAAAAGGACTGGGACTCAACAGCTACAGCCCAGGTAAGTTTTGACCAGAGCTATGAGGTGTGGCTCATTCTGTCCTGGTTGCCTGAGCCTCTGCCCTGATCTCCCCTGGATAGGGAGGAAGCAGGCAGGGAAAGAGAGTCTGGGGTGGAAAAATGGTGGACTGCTGAGAAAAATCCCTTCCACTGTGAAATTTACAATCTGGTTGTAAAGGCAAATTTTAGGTAAGATGAGATTGAGAAATCATGAAGAAATACAGGATTAGCAACTAAGTGATGGAGACGGAAAATGAGTGCTAGAATCAAGTCACTTCAGTCCAGAATCACAGGCTGGACCATCTGCAGGGAGCAGACAGGTTTCATAAACCAGGGACTCAAGTTGCATTCTTTCATCACATGCAGTAGGGTATGCAGATTAAACAGCCAGGAGGAGTCCGTACTTCCTTAAAGAAATATAGGCTGTCTCCCATTTTGCTTTGTCAAAACCCCATCCTCTTAGTCCACTTTTTTTCCCTTGCTTTTGGTAGAATTATGGCCCCTGAGACATAACCACCATAACAACGAAAAGTACAGGGCATGTGAAAGATAAAGGGGAATTGGTGCCCTGCCTTGGGGAGGTGGGAGAGGTAAGAGACAGCAGGAGTCACCCTCCAGGGATGTACCCATTGGAAGGGGTGGCCCCTGGGGAACACCTGCTGATTTTGGCAGTATTATCCTATGTCTCTGTTTTTGAAGAGATCTCTGAAATCCAGATTCTATGTGAAATCTCTAACTTTGTAAATATGGGCTTTTATTTTTCTTGTCACTGTAAGCCACATAGAACATATTGTTGGTCATCAGTTTGACCTGTTTGAGACAGTCAATCTAACTTCAGTTAAGGTATAAAATCTATATTCCAATCAGAGTGATGAGGCTCAGGACATGCTACCCCCAAAATATGGCTCCTTGATATACTGAATATTTTAAGTTGAGGAAATTAGAGATATAGCATATGCAGGAAGGACTCTCTGAATTTCCCCACCGTTCTTCCACAAAGCAGGTCAGAAAACCCAGGAAGAATGTTCTGATCTTCCCCTGAAGCACGTCATAAGACTCTCATATGAAAGGTGCCCTCCCGTCTCCAGGAGGAAAGGGGTATCTTTATCTCTGAAGATGAAGGGACACAGAGTATCTGAACAAACAGGCCTTGTTAAGTTTCCCCCAGTTAACTACTCTTACCTTGTACTCTACGCTTGTATTAGTCGGTTTTCACACTGCTATAAGGAACTACCTGAGACTGGGTAATTTATGAAGATAAGAGGTTTAATTGACTCACAGTTCCACAGGCTTTACAGAAAGCATGGTTAGAAAAGCTCAGGAAATTTACAATCACGGCAGAAGGTGAAGGGGAAGCAAGCATGTCTTTGCCACGGTGGAGTAGGAGAGAGCGACAGGGGGAGAAGTACTACACTTTTAAATGATCAGATGCCGTGAGAACTCACTCAGTATCTCAAGAACAGCACGGGGGAAGTCCACCCCCATAATCCAATCACCTCCCACCAGGTCCCCCCTTTGACACGTGGGGACTACAATTCGACATGTGATTTGGGTGGGGACACAGAGCCAAACCACACCAATGCTCTACTGAATTTCTCCATGACTGCTCATGCTTCATCAAACCTATTAGTAAAAACATGCAGGTTTAACTGTTTCTTTGAGTCTTTATTTCCTTATGAAGGCTCTTGTGTCATGTGAAACTCACATTAAATAAATCTGTTTGCTTTTGTTTTGTCAATCTGTCTTTTGTTATAGGGCCCCAGCCATGAACTTGGAAGGGTAAAAGGAATATATATATTTTTCCTCCCCTGCAGCAGTATTGCCTTAAAAAGAAGAAACATATAATGTAACTGAATACAAGCTGGCGGCTGTCCTGCTTCTTATAGTCTTGGTGTAGAAACACAAAACCTACTAGTCTACGTCCAGTGGCATTCCAACACCCTCCATTAGACGTCTGCACATTCTTGGAGATGGGAAGAGGAGATGATTTCTTCTCAGTGTGCTCAATAAATGTTAGATACATGAAGGAACATGTCAAGTGTAATGAGAAACTGTCTCCAAAGCAACAATAACAGCAAGAGAATCACTTCCTTCAAGGATTCATAAATTTCTAGAGTATTTTGACAGGAGGGAAAGGGTCGTATCACACAGCATTCATATTCACACCATCTCTTCAACTAGTCTTGCTAAATTCTCTCACACTCCCCTCCCCCAGCCCCATCCTTTGCTCCTCCTTTCTTGTATAATAGCCTCTATTGCAAAAGCTTTGCTGTCTCAATGCAACTGCTATCAGCAGCCTTGCTACCAATCAACATGCCGTCCTGATGTGGTCTGGGGAGTCTTTACCAAGGAATTTTCTTGTGTAAAGACAGTTTCCTTCCCAAGAGGAATTCTGAGGCCAGCTATTTAGATAGTAAACACTTTGCCAACTCTTTACAAAAAAAAAAAAATTAACTGCTAACATTGTTACAGCTTTTGTTCTTTCCCATTTTGATCCTCTTCCCAGTGAAGTAGGTTGAGTCAACATGTAAAAAGATAAGCTCCAGATAGAAAACATAAGTAATCAGACAACTTATGTAAGGACGGGCAACTTGTAAATGGGGCAGCTAAGCCAAGAGTTGGCAAACTTTTGAGGGGGACACTTAGTCAGCGTTCACAACTAATGGGTGTAATGGGTGGAGGTCTGTCACCATGTGCCAACCTGGACCCACACATTAACAACGGGGAGACCACAAGAAAAGCTGGCCCTGGACCATCAGGTAGATGCCTCCCAGGTGCCCAGGAGCCTGGCAAGGAAGTCCCTTGACTAAGATGATCCTTTGCCTCCCTGGTGTTTGATGTTAATGGTGGAATTTACACTGTTACTTGGGCCCTGTGTCTACTTTTTCCCCAAGATGTCTTAGTTTCCTAGGGCTGCTGTAATAAACTACTACAAACTGGGAGCTTAAAACACCTCAGATTTATTCTCTCACAGTTCTGGAGGCCAGAAGTCTGAAAGCAGGGTGTGGGCAGGACCACCGTCCCTCTGAAGGCTCTGGGGTAGGTCCTCTTCCTAGTTCCTGGTGGTTGCCAGCCATCCTTAGTATTCCTTGGCAATCAGTGTCTCCATTGTGACATGGCCTTCTGTCTCCTCTCTGTCTCGAAATCCTCTCTCCTTAGAAGGACATGAGCCATTGGATTTCGGGCCCACTCTAATACAGTATGACCTCATGTTAACTAATTACATCTGTAAAGACCCCATTCCCAAACAAGGTCATCTTCTGAGGTTCTGGGTAGACACACAATTGGGTGACACCGTTTAACCCAGTAAAGCGGTTATTTCTATGCTTATGTACATCTGCTGAAACTGCCAATGGCACATTCAGAAGTCTCTGGAATCTGCATTTTAGCGAGGAATTCTTCTTTTAGGATTGGTTTTCCTAAATAACATTCAAGAGCCTGAGTCTACTGACTCTCTGGGCATTAAGCCAGACTTATATCCTTAAGGCTTAACAATGGTTTGAATTACTAGTTCCAAACACTTACATTTGGGTTAGGAAAAAAAATCGTCTTAATCAGCAACACTGAGACAAGTTTATTAACCTCGATATTAGATTCACATTTTTATCGGTGGTTCTGAAGTAGTCTGGAAGGCCAGAAGACAGCCCTCCCTCTCACTCCTATCAAAAGTCCTCAACAACTTTGTTTACATTTTATTTTTACTACAAAGGCAGAAAGGAGGAAATAATGTGTGCTAACCACATGTCACTAACCACACACTTAATGAAATGATTTTACTCTATGGGCTTTATGTTCCATACACATATGTTATGGCATGAAGAGATCATGAGAAAAATGCTTATGAATAAGCACTTGCTAAGCTTCCTTCCTCAGGATCCATAAAGTAAAATCATTATTTAAATATAAAAGATGGAGAAACACGACTTTAGCACCTGTAATCGCCAGGTGGCTCCCACCCGCCCCTGCTCCGTGGTCCTCCGTCCGTGACTCTGCTTTTCCTCCTCCCCTCTTTACCTTTACGTTATTCCTCCTTTCCCATGCCTCCCTATCTCAGAATCTAAAGAGATGAAGCCAGGAGCTTCTCTGTCATTGCACCTGAGTCTTCTATGCCTCTCCTGAGACATTCCTCACTAGATATCAGGGTCCAGATGTTGGATTGAGCTCAGCCTGCAACCTCTCTTCTTCCCCAACACATACTTTTAAAGATCTCAAATGTATTTATAAGCACATAGCCAGCACAAAAACAAGAAAAGGAAATGGGAAATCTCTATAGACAAGAATTGATGCAATCTCTCTACACCACAGGGGTGGAGAAAACCAGCAAGGATAAGTGGACTCCTGACCCACATTCCTCCGACGGGCCAGGTCCAGAGCCAGGCCAAGCAGGTGGGGCAGGGGACAGGGGACAGGGTCTCCATACCATGGTGGGGTCCGGGGTTAGAACCCAGCCGCCCACCCAGGGCTGCGGCGTGGCTGCAAGCTGCAGCCATGTGGCTGAGGCTGGGGCGTTGTTTCCTATATATTATAGGAGCCCAGAATCTTGCTTCCACCAGGTCCCAGGCTGAAACCACAATTACATCATCCCAACAGCAGTCTCGCATCCCACATGAGCAAGGGAGAGGCCCTCTGAGAAGGCCCAGCAGCAGGACGACAGGCTGCAAGCACGAGCACTCAACTCACCCCTGAAAGAACTGTTTTCCTATCCTTATGGAAACAAAGGGGGAAATAGCATCCATTAAACACGAATTCACGGTTGGAGAAAAAAAAATTAGAAATTTTGGAATTGAAGAATACGGTTATTGAAACAAAAGCTCAATAGATTTGTCGAGTATTAGTCTGGGTATAGTTCAAGACTGAATTCATGAAATGGAAGATAAAACTGAAAAAAATCTTCCAGAATGGATCACAAAGAAAAAGTATTATAAAAAGTTAAGGGACAGGGAGGATTAATCTAGAAATTTCCATAATTATTCAATGAGTTCTAGATATGGAAAATAGAGAGGGTTCTTGGGGGACAATGTTTGAAAAGTAAGAATTTTGCAAGAAAAAAAAAAGAGGCCTGAGTCCTTAGATAGAAAAAATATCTCCCAAAGTGGCAAGCAGAATGAATTTTTTAAAAATCCACATTTAGACACATGTTTGTAAAAGTTTGTAACATATAAGGTAAAGAGAAAATCCAAAAAGCTGAGAGAGAGAGAGAGACAGAGAGAGATAGAGAGAGAGAGAGAGAGATCTACTCACATACACATGGATACAGACCTTATAAAATTTCCTGCAGACATGTATATTTAAAAAGTAAACAATTCCTTTGTGTCAAAGTTGGATCTTTTCAGGAAAACACTTTGAAAACACTTTGCAATTTTAACTACTATCTCTCTCAGTTTCTGGGTCTTGTGGACATAAGGGGCCAACAGCCAATTCCAGCACTTCTTTGCTTCTCTGTGAATTGATTGCTTCTATGTCAAAACTCCTTCCTTTTCCCAACAGCCTCAGGAAACATGACATTGGCCTTCCTGGGGTCTCAACACTAAAGGACACCTTTTGAAACTGAGCAAATAAATAAATATTCCTTGAATTGCTTTTTTATTAAAAACAGCATTTCCCCCTCAAAAGTTCCAAAGACCTTTCTCTTTTCTACCATAAAGAGATCCTTGGATATGTTTCTGAAGAAAACTTTTCCAAACAAAATTTTTGGAAAGTTTTCCTTTCACTTTTTTTCTTGCTATTTTCTATATAGCAGAATGTAGCATGAGCTCTGTAAACAATTTAAGTCCATTTAAATTGAAGTCCATTTAAGTAAATATTTAAGATGTCATTTTTCTTTTATGGTTCTCTGATCTTTTGTCCTAATAATTACAGCTAAAATACTGTATCAAAGAGGAAGTTTTCAAAGGGTAAATCAGACCTAATATTCTAACTACAATACTGAGGAACTTGAAAACCTTTCAAGGAAACATGCTTTTCTATGGGGGTATTTTTTTCATCTAGTGATGGAATAAATAAGGAATGGAATCCCCAAAAAAGCCATGTAAAAGAAGGGTTTGCAGGTGCAATATTCAAGTGACTCAGCAAAGCAAGAGCTTCCTAAGTTAAGCTGTCTAGAGTATCCCTTCCTTGGCTGTACCTTCCTTCTTGGGATCTACTTGATGAAAGCGTGGATGAGTGATGTTGACCTTGGGGAAGTCACTCTGGTAAGAACCAGGGATCCATCACAGACATCTTCCCCAGTCACCTCGCATCGTCCATGCCCTCCTCCTAGCTGAAGCTTAGGTAGTGTTAGTTTATTCCCTCAGGTTGCAGACATGGCTGGCAGACTTGCTGGACAGCTCTGCAGAGTATTTTTGTGACAGGTGAGGGGTCTATTCATGCCTGGAGGGGACTCCTTCCATGGAAAGAGAGCACTAGGAACACAAATATGACTCAGTTGCCAGAGTCAACAGATAATTTCAGGTGTAATCCCATGCATGTCCTACATTAGGCCCTCAACAAATACTTTTTATTTAATTAATTGTTAATTCATATTAATTATTAACTAATAATTTATTAGACTACATAGTATTAATTAAATACTGTTATTTAATTTGTAAATGTTGGGTCAAGAACCAGAGAGCAGGAAGCTCCAAGTCAAGCTGAAGAGCATATTTGTGCAATAATAATAGTGTCTGAAAGTCATAAAGGTAGCAAAGCAATCCTGCAGTGGGGTAGAGGTTCTCCCCCATTTTACCGGAGATGACTGCCTCGCTCCCACATTGAGGGTGCCAGAGGATGGATGCTCCCTGTGGAGGAGCTTCAGCTGGGCATACCTTTGACAGCGGGCTTCTGATGGCCTTCAGCTTCCAACAGCAGTGGAAGTGCAGGAGTCTTCATGGGCACGAGAAGTCTTAGCAGTAGGGGTCACTATAAGGGCCTGGGGCAGAAGAAAGTTTGGTGGGTATGACCACTGTCACCTGGAGGTGAGATGGCTGTGACTATAGGCAGACAGGACACACTTGTGGGGACTCCCAGACCCAGCAGCACTGGGAGGGGTGGACATGTATCCACCAGGGTTCAGGTGCATGAAACTGAAAATATTCTAGCTACTTTCAGCAAAAAAAGGATTCAATAACAGGAATTAGGAATTTGCAGAATCTTTGGGAGAGCCTGTGAGTAGGATAACTCTCAGGACAGCAATAAACTGGCCCACTGGAGAACAGTCTACCTCTGCTAAGCAGCTCCCGAGTGGTGGAGCTCAAGAACACACATCCGGCAGGCACAGAACCACACTTGCTTCTCAGCACCACTGAAGCTAGTGGCTGGACCCTGGATGCTGAGTCAGGCAGCCCAGCATCATCTCCAGGACAGTAGCTCCAGGAGCTGCAGCTAAAGCCACAGGCAGTAGCCCCTGCCACACTTCCATCTTCCAAATCATGCAAGTTCGTCATAAACAAACCATCCAGCACCCTAGCTGCAAGACAGTCTTAAAAGGCATTTAAAAAAATCTTTCCAGCCCTGTCACACAAGAAGTCACCAAGAAAATAAGGTGGAATGGAATAATGGAATATAAATGCCAATTCCCCATCTCCACCCTGTGACTGAGGTGCTGGGTTTGGAAGTCGTTTCTGAGTCATGAAGTAGCATCAGGAAAATGCTGGAGGTCCTGAAGTAGTGAATGGAGGCATAACTAGGAAAATCTGACTTGTCACTATTACTGTGATTGATTTTTTAAAATGTCTAGATTGTGTGGGATATGGAAAAATGGAGATGGTACCTATTTCACAGGATTATTTTGAAGATTTATTAAGACAAAATAAAAGAAAAAGCCTGTGTATATTGTAAATTATACAATGATAGTAATTTTAGGTGAAAAAAAACAAAAACAAACATAAGTCTTTCCACTAATGAGTCAGAAATAAATCCTGTTGAACAAAGTCTAAACAGGATCCCCTCACAGAAGGTTTACATAACAGTTAGTCGTTGGTGTTTAGTATGATAAACATCCTGCTCATGGGAAAAGGTGAGTCCATTCCTCCAACTGCCACCATCCCAAGGAGATTTCATTAACCTTTAGCAAAATCTCTGACCTACAGCCCCAATCTGCTGGTTCATCTGAGAGTTGGCACCTGGCATCCTCATCTACCATAACCTGGAGATTTACAAGAAGTCCTCCAATGGTACCCAGGGGAGAATGTGTCCTGGGCCTCCCCACAAGGCTTGGCAGCACCTTCTCCAAGTTTGTCCCTGCCTTAGCAGCTCCTGCTTGTGGGGCTGGCACTGTGCTGTTCTTTCTGCCTCCACCTCAGCCAAAAGCAACGTCTAGCTGTCGGAGTAGTCTCACGATTCCTGCAGACAGAGGGGCTTAATTACGCAATTCATTAATGTAAGGAACCACTGTCTCAGTTTTAGGAAAGCTTTGAGAACAGATCTAAAAGCTGACCTTGGGGCTGGGTGTGGTAGCTCATGCCTGTAATCCTAGCAGTTGGGGAGGCCAGGGTGGGAGGATCACTGGAGTCTTGGAGTTCAAGACCAGCCTGGGCAACACAGGGAGACCCCATTTCTTTACATAAATAAATAAGTAAATAAAATAAAAACTGACCTTGGAATTAATCTTTAACATAACTTTTATATATTAGCCAATGTGATCAAAGAAAGGAAGGCATGAGAGAGGGGAGAGGAAGGAAGGAAGGATAGAAGGAAGGAGGAAGAGAGAGAAAGAGCATAAGAGAGAAGGGAAGATAAAAAGGCAGAAAGGCAAAGAGAAAGAATGAAAGGGAGAAAGAAATAAAGAAGGCAATGAAAGGAAAGGAGGAGAGGAGAAGAGAGGAAAGGGAGAGAAAAGGAGTTCTATGCAAATTTTGTACTTTTTATTTAAAGAAAAATCAACCCCAAGTGGCAATATAAGAGCAAGCCTGTTTGGACAGATTTAGGCTAGATTTACCATAGGGAGCTCTACCTGACACATCCTGACTCAAAGCCATTGTATTTTCCATCAGTCACAGCTCAATTTCCCTCCAGTTCTGTCTCAGAAAACCCAGAGCTGAAATGGGAGGAAATTGCACTGCTCTTACTGCACAGTGTCAATAAAAACAGCAAAGAGGGTGAAGACACGCACTCCAGATCAAAGTCCCATTAGTGCTGATGCTGCAGGACCTGGGGACCAAACAGGATCTCCACCATGAGCCATTTTTCTTATGGGAACCCAGTCTGCCTCAGTCGATTTTTAAAAATATCCCTCAGAGTTCATATGAAAAATGTGAACTGGCTAGTGGGGGATAAGTTCCTAGAGGCTGGTTTGTGAGCATAGGGAAGAGACTGTAGAGCGAAATAATGTCTGCTTCATCTAGGAGTCACTGGAAATCCCGTTGGGTTTAGCACTGTGCACAGAACCAGGGGCTGAGTCCAGGCCTGGGTTTTTGTGAAGGTGCTTTCCCATGTGGTAAACAGAGCTTTGCTTACCTTATTCACTTCCTTAAGGAGAGCAGGAAGCATTTCAGTCATAGTTTATAGCACAGATGCAATGTATTTGTCATTTCAATGAATTACACTCTCCTTCACTGCGAGTTTCCCATCCATGCCTTCACTGCAGCATAGATGCTATTGGCCTTAATTCTATCATGCAACCAAAGCTGGTATGGTGGTATCCAGGGTTACCATGATTTAGGATTTCACAGAGCAGCCAGGAGAGCCAGGATTTGGGGTCAAAAGCAAGTGCCAGTTCTCTTTCCCTGAGCCTCAGTTTCCTCAGCTGTAAAGTGGGAAAGTCAGAAAAACAATCTCACCAAGTTGTTAAGAAGTGAGCTAGTGTTCAGGAAATATCTTAAATAGTAAAGCGACATAGTTACTATTGTTAAACTGCTGCCAAAAAGAGCTAAAGTCACCCAACTAAACCTTTCAGTGATTGTGAGAATCCAACACCCAACTCATAAAATTGTCACTATAATGATATTATTGAAATTTAAGAATTTCAAAGATAACATCATGATATTAAGACGAATATGTTATAGAGTCAAAAGATAGCCACTTCCCTCCCTTCACTATTTAACTCTGAGTCAATCCTTTTGGCAAGTTGGTATTACTCCGTGAAATGGTCATGACTGCTACAACAGGTTTATAATGCAGTGGTATGTGCCTTGTCTTAGCTGTTTTAACGGAAGGCTAAGACTAAATGCTAAGAGTGTAGTTTGGAAAGCTCTGCATGATTTTGTTTCTTGGTTCCTCTTTATTTTGACACCTAAGCCTCTGCAATTTAATTCTTTTGACCCCTAACCCCTTAGTGGCATCTCCCAAGATCAACACAGCCCTCGTCATCCTTGTAAGAGCACCCAAGAGCTCTTCCCCAGAGGTCCACAAAATCAATGCCTGGTTTCTCCAATGCTGCAGTCATCTTCCTGATCCGTGTTTTTTTGAGCATCTTCTCCTAGTTCCTTGCACCTTCTCTCCAAGCAGTGCAAATGAGTGTCAGATAAGAATCAGGGGAGACAGGCCTCTGATGGATGGTAGATGATGAGGGAAAGAGGTGCTCACCCACCAGCATTCCCGCCTACCCACTGCACCCACCGACCTCGGCTTTCCTGGAGGCAGTGAATGTTACCCACAGCACAGAGGTCACCAAGGGGCTAGGCAAGCAAATGGGATTTTAAATATGAGCACTTCTTGCCTCAGCTCTGCTGGAGAATTTTCTGCCTTATTTTCTTTTCTTCTGGAGATAAACAAAACAGGAAATCAAACTCAAAAATGCATGAGGCATTTATTCAGGCAAACAAAGGATCCAATTTTAAATATCCCTCACGCTAAATTCTTTCTCTCATTCATACAGGCAGATCAAACCTTAGAGACAAATGCAATTTCTGTGGGAGTGATTATGCCTCCCTGGCTTCCTGAGCCTTGCTCAGTCTGAAACAGTGCCCTTTCCAAGCGCCCATGAATTTCATCACTAGATACTTATTAGATATTCCCTGTGGCCTCCACTTCACAGATGGAGAAAGTGGGCTTCCAGGAAGTATGATTACTTACCCTAAAGGACACCCAGCTGGGCTGAGAGCTCTGGAGGCCACTGAATGCTTGCATGAGTTGTGCCCAACCTGGCTTTAAGAATCAGAGGGTCCTTTACAACTTTGAAAATATTTTCAGTCAGTGTGCATCATCTTCATTGCTTATGAAATGCCTGTATATAGTCTAAGCACTGCCAGGGTAGTAAAGAAGATGAAATTGGATCTTTTAAGTGCTTACCATCTTGTTAAGGAATCAGCGGGATAACTTTCTTCAAATCCTTTCAATATCCTCTTGTGTTAATCAAGGTTGCCAGAATGAAACCCATTCTAGGTAGAAAGCAAAGCAGAAAGAAAGCTTATCTATTAAAGAAATATTAGGAAACTCAGAATCTCCAGAGATTCAAGCAGGGAGTTCTCACAGCCTGGAGGCCCCGTGGCCTCTGAAATCATGGTATCTCTCTGCCATATTCTACCTCTTTTGCCAGAAAATGACATCTTTTCAGCGTCTGCTTCCTCTCTTAAGTGAGTAACTGATGAGCCAAGTTTAAGTCTTGTGGCTTCACATTAGGTGACAAGAAGGCTGAGAAGGAGTTCATTCTTATCAAAGTTCTAGCTTTTACCTACAGAAAGCTTCATTCTAATGTTTCCCAAACACAGGAAAACTGTTAAAGAGTCTGGCATCCGAAAAATGGCAAATATTTGCCAGTCCACGACAGTCATGCCAGCCGATACCCTCATAATTTCGTACTTAGTTTTATGTAGTATGCTAACTCTTTTTCCTCTTTTCTAACTCTTCTCTCTCCATTCCTTACTCTACATAATTTCTAGATCGATTTTTCTAAAATGCAGCTCTCCAGTCCTTCAACGACTCCCTATTAAAATGCCAATATTTCCAGCAGGAGCTAAGCATTAAACAATTAACCTCAGTTTAGTCTATGGAATTAATCTGGGGAGCAGGCATCACTCCCAAGAGAATGGAACATAGCCTAGGTGAATTTTACAAGGCATGGAAAAAGACCCAGAGGAAGGCAGAGCCCCTGAAGCAGGGGGGGCCAGGCCAATGGAAGGAATGGGGTGGCAGAGACAGCACTAAAAGAACACTTGTTTGTCCTTGAGCACATCCTTGGTACTGAGATGGGCTCCTGGAACACAGGGGAAGGAGACACAGTCCCCTGGGAATTGGAGCCTGAAAGCCTCCTAGAACTTAGCTTTATGCTTGGCTCATTTTGACAACAATGGAGCCCAGGAAGAAGAAATCTTGTTTTTACCATCCAGAAGAAGAGGGGGTATAAAAGGAAGGAGCTTCATCAGGAGGGGGTATTCACACTGATACCTATTTAGCCTGATTTCCAGTGATTTAGGTCAAACACCTTTCTGCAGAGATGGAGAAAAAATGGGTAAAGAAATGTAGCACCGGCCATCTCTGAGTGGGGAGGTTCTGTGCTTCCCTTTAATGACCATGTAGGATCTAGAGCATAGTGTAAATAACTCTTCAGTGGATTTTCTTCATCCAGCATTTGCCAGGAGAGAAGCTGTGGCTGGTAAGCACTGTCAGCCTTTATGTATCTTGGTTTCCTGTGTCTAATATGGTGACCAGAGTATGTTTTCAAACCTTCCATTCACTTTCTTGGCCCTGAGAATTCTGTGTTCTGAGGGCTGGCAACATGAGAGTATTCGTGCTGTGTTATTCCCTTTAGGAAGGATGAGGAGGGGCAAACCTGTGACTCCATAAGCACATGGAGAGGCAGAACTGGACTGGCTGCCCTGTGGTCAGGCCCTGAGCTTTATGGTCCTTCTTGGCATTGGTGACCAGAACAGCGGCTTTCCTATGGCTTCAACGGGAAAGGAGAAGATGATTCTTCAGCCTGGTCTGGACAGACAGCCCCCATTTCGATGCTCCTTAGCTAGAGGCAGGGTGGGATAAGAACAATTTTTTGGAAGCTCAGCCTGTCTTCTTCATTTGGGCATTCATTCATTCATCAAGCCTATCTTCACCAAACACCCCTATCTGTCAGGCAGAGCAATAAATAAGGGAGATGCAAAGGTACTTAAGTTCATGGAAGGAGAGAGGACAATGACCCTTGGGCGAGGTGTGTACTGGTGATTAAAGAATAAAGTTACCAGATGGGCGCGGTGGCTCATGCCTGTAATTCTAGCACTTTGGGAGGTTGATGCAGTAGGATTGCTTGAAGCCATTAGTTTGAGATTAGCCTGGGCAACAGGCTAATCTCAAACTGAATTCAGGAAATTTTTTCAATCACTGGAAATCAGACATTAATGGAATTAATCTGGGGAGCAGGCATCACTCCCAAGAGAATGGAACATAGGCTAGGTGAATTTTACAAGGCATGGGAAAGGGCCTTGTAAATCAAACATTTCTCTACCCATTTTTTTTCTTCATTTCTGCAAAAATGTGCTTGATCTAAATCACTGGAAATCAGACTAAACAGCTATCAGTGTAGAGCCTCCAGAGCCTTCTGATGAAGCTCCTTCCTTTTATACTCAGGACCCTTTACTGGATGGTAAAATATGTATATATATATATATGCACATAAGCGCATGGAGAGGCAGAACTGCACTGGCTGAGCATTCATGAGTATGCTGAACAGCAGAGCTGAGGCAAGAAGTGCTCATATTAAAAATCCCATTTGCTTGCCTAGCCCCTTGGTGACCTCCGTGCTGTGGGTAACATTCACTGCCTCCAGGAAAGCCAAGGTTGGTGGGTGCAGTGGGTGGGCGGGAATGCTGGCAGGTGAGCACTTCTTTCCCTCATCATACCATTTTTTCCTCCATTTCTGCAAAATGTGTTTGACCTAAATCACTGGAAATCAGACTAAATAGGCATCAGTGTAGAGCCTCCGGAGCCTCCTGATGAAGCTTCTTCCTTTTATACTCAGGCCCCTTTACTGGATAGTAATATGTATTATATAATATTTTATATTATATAATATAATAATATATATTATATAATATTATATACTATTATATAATATAATATATATTATTATATATTTATATATTATATAATATTATATAATATTATATAATATTATTATATATTATATAATTATATATTATTATATAATATTATTATATATTATATAATGTAATATATAATTATATAATATTATTATATATTATATAATGTAATATATAATTATATAATATTATTATATATTATATAATATAATATATAATATATAATATAATATTATTATATAATATAACAACATAATATAATCTAATAACATAATATAATATATATAACAACATAATATAACATAATATATAATAATATATATATCATATATGTATATATATATATCATATATATATTGTTTTTTCTTCCTGTGCTACAATGTTGTCACAATGAACCAGGCATAGCTTTGGGGTAGCAGACAAAGGACAGTGGCACCAGCATATAGCTACAAAAAAATTAAAAATTATCCAGACATGGTGGCATGTACCTCTAGTTCCAGCTACTCAGGAGGCTGAGGTAGGAGGCTCACTTGAACCCAGAAATGGGAGGTAACAGTGAGGCATGATAGTGCCACCGCACTCCAGCCTTGGTGATAGAGCAAGACCTTGTCTCTAAAAAAAGAAAAGTAAAGAAAGAACCCAGAATGGAAACCTCCTTCCTTTCCCCCAAATAATTCTGAAGGTTCTTCTCCTTCCAAATGCCCACATCTCACCAATGCCCACATCTCACCAATATGCACACTCTCCCGCACACTTGCAGATCCTCTTGTCTGCCATGGGGCTCAGAATTAGATAGGGGTAAAAAGCCGGTGAGGGGAGAGAAGGGAGGGAGCAGAAAAGCCAGGAGAGAAAGACGCTCCGCAAAATATAGGACTCAAAACCCTTCAGCGGGAGGAGGGGAAGCCCTGGTGCCTCCCCTGCTGGCTTCCCCTCTCTCATGCTTAGAATTTGCTTCCTTCCAGGTTCAGAACCAGGACCTTCTGCCTTGGCCTCCTACCTGCATGAGTGGCTGGCCACTCTTAGCATCCACTGCCCACCCTCTGTGGCCACAGGTAAGTGTGTACATGTTCCCTGCTGCCCCAAAGCTGGGAGTTGCTTCATGTGCAGGACTAGAACAGGGACCAGCACACAACAGATTCCTATTTAATGTGCTATCTGGGGCTCTTCAGAAACTCCCCCCTTGTGAAGCTGTTAGCACAGCCTGGGATTTTATATCAGGAGAATAAACCAGGAAAGAACACAGACAGAGAATTCTTCAGTCACCACCAGAGAATGCTCTCTAGTGAACCAAAAAACTTGTCCTCAGCTCAGGACACACGAATTCAGGGCTCGCACCTGAGGCTTCTAAAGCAGGTCTACCCCAGACCCTTGATCCTCCCTGGTGCTTTTGAGGAAAACTGGGAGAAACCCTGGCCAGGACTCTCAGCTGCCAACTGCCTGATTCTCGTGAGTGAAGTAGTAATGAGAGCAGTAATCCACAAATATGACACCTGGCTGTGAGGGAGAAGCAAAGGCTGTCTGCTCGGTAGAAAATGCCCCCATTTCCCGATTCTAGACCTGGCCCAGCCTTGGCTCCCTTACCTTGTCAATAAAGCGGCTTCATTTCCTGTCTTATTCTGGCTGCTGGGAGAAGACCTTCTGGAGTCATTTACCTATTGGGTCCCTTCTCCGAGAACTCAGTCCCCGCGCAGGTGCAGTTGGCACGCGCTCTGTCTCAGCCCTGAGCCCTAAGGCACTGGATGTCTTGGATAGACAAGAAGTACGGGTTATTTGGGGTAGACAGGAAGTGTGAGTGAGTTGGGTAAGCAGGCTGGGGGAGGGTGGGAAAAAAGGTGTCATATTTGTGGATTACTGCTCTCATCCATAAAAGAAACCCCCTGCCTTATATTCTATGGTGAAATTGCAACAAAAATACCTGTGACTCCAAACGTGCGCAGTTTTTTCTCCTTTCCTTCTCTGCACCTTCCTCAGACACAGTTTACCTGTGACTTCCACTTTGTGATCTCATAGACTTCAGAGATTTCCACACAAGCCACATATCTTACAGTTCAAAATCCTGATCATACATAGCTTCAACTCACATTTTTTTCTCCTAGACTTGAAGTGTTCACAGCATCAGTTTCTATCTTATGTAGGAAAAAAAAACCTGTCCCATAAAAGCAATATCAGGCTAGTGAGGGAACGAGAAATATATAAACATATGTCTCTCACTCCCTCACTCCAAAATCAATACACATATTTTTTTAAAAAAAAAGCACTTCTATATTTGAGATATTTTCAGCTTTCTTTCATTGTCTTAAACATCTGTTAGGTTGTCTTTCTGCAGACAGTCGCTAAATAATATGGTTTATTTTGGGTAACTGATTATAGGAAACCATCCCATATAGCCACAAAATAACATTTTTAATCACATCTTCTTTTCAACTTTAAAGAACCAAATGATTTCCTTATCTTGACATGATTTATCATTTGAGCATAAGCCCGGGACCTAGGAGGATATTATCTATAGCTCCTTCACATGAAAGGTTCTTATCAAGCAAGCAAAGTTTACAATCACAGCCAGAGAATAGAAGAAAAACAAATGGTATGGTCAATAGTTCTCTATGGCAGATTTTTTTCAGACGGTCTTATCTAGTGAACCTCTTTCCAAAAAGCTCACAGACGATGTGATTTTCCATTAACTGCAGAGATAGGGTAGGTGATGTGGATAATATTTTGAATTTTTCTCTTTTCACTGGCTATCAGCTAAGACTCCTATTTTATTTCTTTTTGGGCATTAGTTGGGGTTTTTCCCTCATGAGCTCAAAGCCTTTGTTGCTAAAGATTTTCTCTCACGACAGATTGTTTTGATCAGAAGCTTAAAAACCATAAGGAAAAGACCACTTCTCTCCATTCTCTCGTGCTCTCTTGGGATTGGGTAACTTGTGTGGCCCAGTTGGAGGTGCCTCCCCAGGTTCACTTTGCTACCAAAAAAATCCCCAGCACCTCCTTCCCCAATCATTTTTTTTCCTTTGAGATGGGTGTCTTGCTGTTGCCCAGGCTGGTCTCAAGCGCCTGGGCTTAAGTGATCCTCCTGCCTCAAACTCCAAAGTAGCTGGGATTACAGGGACGGACGCGGCAGCCTTACCCAATCTCATTGATGGCTGTTCTTGCTTCCTACTTACTTCACTTCAGGTGACTAACCATCCTGGTTGCCCAGGACTGATGGTTTCCTGGGACATAGGACCCTTAGTGCTGGGAAAGTCCCAGGTGCCACAAAAGGGTGGTAATGCTGAAACTCTGTCCTTCAACCTGAAGGATGTTATGCCAAGTGGACTGAGCCAGGCACAGAAATGTAAAATACTGCATGATCTCATTGATGTGTGGAATCTAAAAAAGCTGACTACACAGGGCATGGTTACCAGGGGTGGGAGGTGGGAGAAAGGTAGAGATGTTAGTTCAGGGGTACAAAGTTGCAGTTATGTAGGATGAGTAATTCTAGAAATCTAATGTGTGGCAGGAAGACTATAGTTACTAATACTGTATTGTATACTGCAGATTTGCAAAGAGAGTAGATTTTTAAGTGCTCTCACTGGGCACCGCCCCCCATCCCCCCGCCCCACACAGGTAACAGTGAGATGATTATTAACTAGCTTGATATGAGTAATCATTCCTATATACATGTATATATATACACATCATGTTCTTTATTACGTATACATAAACATGTTGTACACTTTAAAGAAATACAATTTTATTTAAAAATAAAATAAAAATATAATAAAATTGCATCCTTTCTTAACCTTTCAAGGACATCACTTCACCAAAATTCTAATTTTAGGATGTATCCTAATTCATGTCTTCCCCTTTCTAGTGCACTTTTATTTTTAGTATAGAAACATGCTCTTAGTTCTCACATTCAAAATCAGTAATAAACCAAACTAAGTTCCCTGATCAGCCACATACCATGCCCCTACTCCCCTCTGCAGCCAAACACCTGGAAAGGGAAGCCTCTCCTTGTCTCCAGCTCGTTTCAAGCCCCTGTGTCTCAACCCACTGCAATCAGCCATCACCCCACCATGCTGCCAACACTGGCCCCATGGAAGTCACCAAAACTGCAGGCAGATAAATCCATCCTTCTCAGTCTTCCTCCCACTTGGCCATCGGTGGTGATGGGACTGATGGGGTGACCACTCCCTCTTCTTTGCTACACTTTCCTCAGTTGGCTTTTAAGACACCACCCTCCTGTTCCTTACCCCTGCTCCTTGGCCGCGTCTTCAGTGGGCTTCATTATCCCTCTTCATCTCCCTGATGCCTAAAGTTGAGGGACCCTAGAGCTCAACTCTGGCTCCTCACCAACATTGGCCTGAACCATTTTGTCTGAATTATCATCATAATGATCCTATCTGGTCTCCCTGAATCTACCCTTCTCCCTCCCCTCACCACAGTGGCTTCTCAACTCAGCAGCCAGAATTATTGTAATGAAAATGTCAGATCCCATTATTCCTCTGCTGAAAACCCTCAGAGGCCTCCCCTACTCACTCACTCAGAGGAAAGCCAAAGGCCTTGCAGGATATGCTCTGCTCCCTTTTTCTCTGACCTCCACTGCTTCCCCAGCCCCCTCACTCACTAGGCTCCACCACCCTGGCCACCTTGCTGCTCCTTGGAAAGGCCAGGCACCTCCTACATGCCTAGGAGGGTTGCTATGAGGATGGGGTTGCAGAGGGTAGAGCAGATGATCCACAGCTGAATTCAACTACATCAGAGAACATGCATCTTTGCAACAAGGGAATGGGGAGAAGGGCTAAGGAAACGGTATAAGGACTTGGTATGCCCGTTGTGGGTCTGCCTTGCCCTCACAACTATTCCTAGACCTTCCAGCTGGGCCTGATAAGTGGGAGGCGGTGGGGAGAATTTGGAGGGTGAGGGAAGGGAGATGCCATGGATTTCGCTCCCTCCCACTCTGCCTTGGGTAGCTTTTCTGCCAGCAGCTGCCTCTCCTGTGGTTCTGGCTCTTGGTGAACCAGCCCACATGGACCCAGCTCATGTTTGGTGACCTTGACTCCTGGGCTCCAGTAACACTGCCTCCTCCTTTTGTTTTTCTAGCCTAGGAGTGGCCGTGGCTTCCTGAGGTGGCTAATACCTGAGGAACCCCATCTCTGTTGGCTTTCCAACTCCTCCATCACCTGTGTTACCAATTCCCCGAATTAAATTATTTGTTTTAAATACTTAACATAGATTCTCTTCCTGGATGGGCCTTGGCTAACGCCCTTGACTCTTGGGAATATGTGGGCTGCCAGAGGGTGGTCAGCTGCGATCCAAACAGCTCAGCCCACACGGTTGGTACTTGGCTCAGGTCAGTTCATGTTTCTTAATGGCTCAGTGTCCAGGGGAGACATCTGAGAATAAACACTCACAGCTCCAGATTGAAATGAGCTTACAGTTTAGATGGGAAACTGTTTTTATGAAAAGAGCAAACAACAATTCAAGGCAATGTGAGACTAAATGCCAAATGCCTGGTAAAGACAATTTGTGCTGAGACTAATTCTCCACAGCTTAGGTTCTGTGTCACACATGGATTTTCTACCTGTCCACGTATGAGTCACTCTAAAGTGATAAAAATTCATGGAAAGGCAAAGGCTCAATTACAGAATATTTGTTAAGTTATTACTTTCAATATATAAATTCCGACACTGATGAAAGCTAACTAGTGTGCTCTTTGGAAGAAACATGCCCCTGTTTGCAACCTCTCTGACAAAGGTCATTTAAAATCACTTCCAGTGGGTGCATGTAACTCACTCAAAGCATAGGTGGGCTTCAAGTAGGCGACTGTGATGTATTCGTGACTTATCAGGCTGGTAGGAAAAGACAACAGTGAAGACTCTTCTCTTGCAATTTCCTGAGCTTCTTTTCACAGCATATGTTTTTATAACAAGAGAAATATTCACAAACCAGTGTTCACACTGCAGACATTTCCCTACTTTGAACCATTTCCTTGCCTCCTTTCAATAATAGTGGAGCCCAGGCCTACCTTTATAACTACTTCAAGTGACAAAGTTTTCTTTCTCTTTAACTCCTTTAATCATTCAACAAATGTTGTTGAGCACCTAATTTGGTTTAGAAATTAGTCTAGGTACTAGACACACAACGGTGAAACAATAAGGTGCAATCTTTTCCCCGTGGAACTGACACAGAAGCATTATAGAAATTTTCTCTAAATGGAGGCATACTCTACCTGGGAGTAAGGCTCGCAGAACACGGTCCACTGAAAGTAGCTGGATTTTTCTTTGCATTGGAAAATAAGTTTGACATAATTCAATATCATCTATTTTGTGACTTCAGTGTCAAGAAATTCAGGAAGAAATTTAGTTTTATTTTTTCTTGATAAAAAAATTTTTTAAATGAAATAAAAATAAATTTAGTTTTATTTGCATCTGAAGAACTTTTATTAACTTTTAAATTGAGGTACAACATACATATAGAAAAGTTTACAAGTCATAAATTCAGAGATTGATGAATTATTACAAAGTAAACACACCTCTGTAACCACTTCCCAAATCAATAGAGTGAACATTACTGAACCCCACAGAGCTCCTGCTCCCCTTCCCAAATCACCCTATATCCCCTACCTCTCCTGACCTCTAAAACAATAGATTCCTTGTCTGTCTTCGAACTTGGTATAAATGGAATCATATGGTATGCATTTTCCAACTTCTTTTGCTCAACATATTTGTAATATTCATCCAAATTGTTGCATGAAATGATTCATCCATTTTAGTTGCTGTTTAGTATTCTGTTCTACGAATGTATCTGAATTTATTTATCAATTCTACTGTTAATAGATATTGACGTTGCTTCCAGTTTTTAGTGATTATACATTGTGCTGTTATGAATATTTTTATACATATTTTTGGTGTACATGTGTACACATTTCTCACAAGGGTATATTTAGCAGTGAAACTGCTGGAATAAAGTGTACATGTATAATAAAATGTAGTGTAAAATGTCATTTACTAAAATGGCTGTGCCAATATATACCAATATGTACCAATATGCACCCAGGTTTATATAAGAGGACCCATTGCTCCATATCCTTGCCAATTCTGAATATTTTCAGACATTTAAATTTTGGCCCTTCTAGTAAGTGTGATGGTTACTCATCATGGTTTAAATATCCCTGAATTCTAATGAGGTTGAGCCCCTTTTCATGTTTAGTGGTCATTAGAATATCGTTTTTTGAAGTGCCAGTTCAAATGTCCTGCCCATTTTGCTATTGGGTGTCTGATATTTTTCTTATTGATTTGTATGTTTTTTGCATACTCTGGGACATAGCTCTTTTCAGATGTATGTATTGCGTCTATCTTCCCACTTATGGCTTAATGTTTAAAATTTCCTTAATGGTGTTATTTGATGAACTGTTTTTAATTTTTATGTAGTCAAATTTATCTGACAAATAAGTTGTTAAAGTGGAAATAATTATGAGACAGATGATTTTATAATAAAAGTGTTCAACAAACACATAAACATCAATTCTAAATATATTGCGGCTAACAACACAGTTTCAAAATATATAAACCAAAAATGTCCAGAACTGAAGATATTTCAAAATCTATAATCTTTTATTAGTAGTAATAGACTGGATGAAGACATAAAACCTTACTCTACACTGCTTATAAGAGGCACAACTGAAATATTAAGACACTGAAAGTTTAAAAAATGGAAGGATGAAAAAGGTATATGATTTAAACATTAATCCAAAGGAGGTTGGTGTTGGAATGTTGAATCAGCCTAGCAACTCAAAGGGAAAATCCAATTTGTCATGATGCATTATCTTTTTACAAATAAGTGTATTCAACTTGCTAAAATTTTGTTACAATTTTTTGTATCTGTGTTTGTGGTAGACATTTGTCTACAGTTTATTTTCCTGTCATTATTTTGTCAGGATTTGGTAAAAGGATAATTCTAGCCTCACAAAATGAGTTAGTGTTTTTTCCTCTTCAATTTTCTGAAATAACTTGTGCTATTGGTATCTCTTCTTTTTAAATGTTTGGTAGAATTTGCCAGTGAAGCCATCTGGGTCTGGCGTTTTGTTTGTGGGGAGGTTTTAACTCATAATTCAGTTTCTTTAATAGGCGTAGGGATATTCAGGCTATCTATTTCTTCTTGAATGAGCGTTGGTAGTTTGTGTCTTTTATAAAGTTTGTCTACCTTATCTAAATTGTCAAATTTATTGACATAAGTTTTTTCATATTTTATCATTTTAATGTCTGTTATATGGGCTGTCATGTTATTCTCTTTCCTTCCCGATATTGGTAATTTGTGTCTTCTCTGTCTCTCTCTGTTATTTTTCCTTATCAGTTAGGCTAGAAATGTTTCAATTTTATTTATCTTTTTTAAAGAACCAGCTTTTATATTCATTGATTCTTTTCTCTATTATTTTCTGTTGTTTTTTTTTTTTTGTTTGTTTGTTTGTTTTTTTGGTGAGACGGAGTTTCGCTCTTGTTGCCCAGGCTGGAGTGCAGTGGCACAATGTCCGCTCGCTGCAGCCTCTGCTTCCTGGGTTCAAGCGATTCTCCTGCCTTAGCCCGCTGAGTAGCTCGGATTACAGAGGCGCGCCACCACGCCCGGCTAATTTTTGTATTTTTAGTACAGACAGGGTTTCATCATGTTGGCCAGGCTGGTCGCGAAGTCCTGACCTCATGATACGCCCACCTTGGCCTCCCAGAGTGCTGGGATTACAGGTGTGAGCCACCACGCCCGGCCTTTTTGTTAATTCTTACTGACTTCTGCCTTTGTTCAGTTTATTACTGGAAGTCAAGAATTATGTTATTTTTCTGTTTGTTCAGAAACTTAGCTCTTAAGACTTCTTATAGATCATGCGAAACATAAAACTTGGTGCAAAGTCTCAATACCATAAACTGAAAAATGAACGTTTCAATTAATTAAGGAAATGAGTAACTCTTCATAACATTTAATACCTTATTTCACTTGATCTTTTCCTGTGACTATAAACTTAGTGATCTTAGGTCTAGTCAATTTAAAACATACGTATCACTTTTTAAACTCTCAGAAACCTTAAAAATTAATATAATTTCCCTATTTTACAGATAAGAAAGCTAAAAATCAGAATGAGAGGTTTCTAATCATGCATTACAAAGCAGAAGATTGACTCGGAAGTCAGTGCTCTTAAATCCTATATTTTATCACCTCCAAAGTAAAGTCATTTGGGTCTTGGATAGTCCAAACAACAAACTTAAAAACTCTACTCTTCCTTTCAAGTTATGGCCCACTATAGACACAACTTATTTGCTTTATCTTTGACGACCAAACATCTCTAATTCCAATTTATTTTATTGCTATTTTGCCCTTGCAACCCATTTGAGTTCCTTCTTACATGACATTTTAGCATTTTTTTAAATGTTGGGTCTTTTAGGTTGGTTTTGCTCTTTATTAGACTTGTACAGTTTTGCTGATTGACTAGTGATTTCGTTTATCATTTAACCTACAATTAATCTTTTTTTCTTTGGTGATATTTATTCCTTTGCCCTGTTTTTTAAACTGCTTTCAATTTTCAGATGTTTTGTTAGATCTATTTAGAGCTTCATCACCATGGCAATATGTATTTTTCTTAAAACACTGCAAACAAATATAGTAGGAGTGCACCCTTTTAATCTTTACCAGTTACTGTGAGATTGTTGTGTAAGCTAATTTACACATTTGTAAATACGTTACTTTCAGGAAGAAAACTGAGACACAGCTCAGGAAAAGCCTGCTGAATTTCTATTGTAAGCATTACTTCACACAGTTGTATTAGTCCGTTTTCACCCTGCTTTTAAAGACCTACCCCAGACTGGGCAATTTACAAAAGAAAGAGGTTTATTGGACTTAACAGTTCCACATGGGTGGGGAGGCCTCACAATCATGGCGGAAGGCAAGGAGGAGCAAGTCACATCTCAAGCAGATGGCAGCAGGCAAAAAATGAGCTTGCTCACCGAGACTCCCATTTTTAAAACCATCAGATCTTGTAAGACCCATTCACTATCACGAGAACAGCACGGGAAAGACCCGCCCCGTGATTCAATCACCTCTCACGGGGCCCCTCCCACAACACGTGGAAATTATGGGAGCTGCAAGATGAGGTTTAGATGGGGACACAGAGTCAAACTATATCAACAGTATAAAGATGAAAAGACAACAAAAATATCTTCATACTTCCTTATCCCCTCATTGCAATAAAACCCTTAACTGGAAGAAACGGTCCACTTTTTTTCCTCTTCCTCCTACACTTCCCACTTATTGTCACCTTGTAATATTCAGAGAGCACTTGAATTAAGGATCTGGATAAGGAGATGCTTTCGGGTAATCATTAGCCCACGTACCCGTAACTTATACTTAAAGAGGGGATGGCATTTGTAAAGTGCTTTTCTAATGCAGTATTATTGTTAAAGGCAAGGGTGGACTCTGTTTTATTTTGACATGGCATGTCTTGAAATAAATATCAATTCAATATGAAAAAAAGACATTTAGAAAATTATAACCTAAATTTTCTTATTTTGATTTATTTATTTTCAGTTGCTATCTGCCCTCTGTAGAAATGTAAAAGCATCTAGGTGAGAACTTACCAAATGTGATAATTCCTTAGCTTTAATGAATCTGGGCTCAGAATCTACTGCTGTGCATAATCAGTCATTTTCCCTTTTGGACAAATTATCTCAGTGCTTTGAGCTCACTCCCCTCATCTGTGAGAGGGACACAGGGAAGCCTGTCGGAGTTCCTTTGAGGGTGAAATAAAAGAGTCTCCATGAATTCATGTGGAGATGCTCTATAAACATTTGTCTTTTCTTTCAAGAACAGTCGTTCTTCTCTTTTCTATAAACATATCAACCTTTTCCCTTCTCCGAGATATGTCATTACGTTTTCTTTTTACTCTTCACCTGGTAGTCACTTGAAGCTATTTCTAGAAAATATGTAGGCACATCTTTTTTTTTGTATGTATCAAACTATGTAAAAATGATTATCAATTCCATTTTAACAAATCTTTGAAAATTATTTGGGCCAGTTAAAGTATTATTTATTGATAAATTTCTCTGTTGGTTTACTTTTGAACTTTGAAGTGAACTACATTATGATATAGATATATCTACTAATAGAATATTCTATTTTTCTTTATCCAACTTTCTCCATGGGCTGTGAACAAAATATATAATCAGTTTTAGAATACAATGTGTCAGTAACTTTCACAACGGCTGCAGTCTTTTATTTGTTTTTCAATCTCCATGTAGCAGCAGCTGTAGGGCAGGAGATGCAGGATATTTTAGTTCTTTATTGTATTTTCCCTACTGTTCATTATCTTATATTTTCTTTATATTTGATAAACATGTGGCTTGAAAATATTTACCTCAAATCAAAGATGATAATCTGATGTGTATGCATTGGGGGATTTAGATTTCCTAACCCCTCATGAACATATGAACATGTGAACTATTTCTGTTGATTATTTTTCTTTGTGGATAATATATAAGTTTGATGGCCTCTCTACATCCAGGTCTGCCTGAAGAAATGGGACTTGGAAGGAAGAGGACAAAGGCATCTGAGAAATGTAGAAACAGCATGAAATCCAGGGATTTAACCTCTTAAGCTACCAAATACATTCCCAGTTCCTAAGAGAGAAATCCATAAGCCTTTTAGCTGCTTGGAAGCCCATGGGGCACAGCCTGATGTTGCCTTGTCCCAGCCTTGTCCTCGGCTCCACTCTGTACTAATCCCTGTCATCTCCTCTCCCTTGCAGGCGATTCTGCTAATCTGAGCCATCTGTGCATCTTGATCACAAGGAAGATACCACCCTAAGCCTCCAAGGCCAGTTGGCCAAACAGAGATTTGGCCACTCCTCCAGGAAGAGGTTTCTCACTATGTCAGACGCATCTCTGTCAGAAGCCCTTGCAAACAGTCAAACCATTTTGTACTATCATTTCTGATACGCAGCTCAAGAGGCACCATGGGTACAATCACATCTGACATAATATAGCTGCTAGAACACTTGGCCTGGCAGTTTTAGAAAGGGACTTTCATGATTAAAACACTCTTTCTCAGGGCAGCATCTGCGATGCCACCTACATCTTTTGCCTGAGGGATTCCCAGAGGGTCAATATCACCTCCTTTTCCCTTCTTTTGCTAACTCAGTGAAGAAAGAGCAAAGATGAGTGAGTCAGAGCTTGGGATAAATTATTACACATATGTCTGTGCATGTTTGCATCTGAGAATAAATGAAAGAAAAATTAACCTGTTGTTTCGCTGTGAAAGTTATATTATTAATTGGTTCCCTACAATGTGTTTTAGCTAAAAAGTAATAACTCATCATTAGGGTGCTGCCCAAGGGTATTACGCTACCATGGAAACAGCCCGTAAGAAAAGACAATCTTTCATTTTCCCTCAGAGGTACCATTTCATTAGATGTTGTAATAGAACATTCAACATTTGGACAGGTAAGGAAATATATGTGCTCAATGTATACTTACATGTGCATACATATATACGTATATGTAAGTATACATTGTATGCTGTGTGTTATTATACACACACACACACACACACACCATTAACTGGTAGACTGTCCCTATTAAAGCATCTTCCCTCAGATGCAGTTATCCAAGTAAACTCCTCTGGTTCTTATCTCCCAATAGCAAAGAAGCCATCACATCACGGGTTCCCGCTGCAGGATGTCAGCAGATCAGAGGCTGGGAGGGGCCTGCGTCTTCTGAATTCCCTTCCATTTTAAGTCAGAAGGAACCTACATCTACAGGCTTCCTGGGTGTGGAGCCCGAGTTAATCATTTCAGTGCAGTGCTTGGCGCAGCTCTATGAGGGCGCCGTTCCAGGTTCTGAAGATTCACCAGGTATTGAATAAGAAACAGGTATTGAATAAGAACATGATCGTCAAAGAAGTCATTTCCGAGAGCCTTGTGTGGGATGAAGGAGATCAGCAGGGTGACAGGATAGAGTGTCAGCAGTGAGAGGGGGCAGGGAAGGAGATTAAGTGGTCAGAGAAAATCTCTCTGAAGAGAGAGTATTTGAACAGAGACTAAAGGAAGACAGAGAGCCAGAAGTCCTGAAAATTCTCTGAGGAAGATTATTTCAGCAGAGGAAAGTGAAAGGGTGAAGGTTACCTCTGAAAAAAAATAAATAATCTCTTTTTCCCAGAAAACAGTCAGCCAATGTGGCTAGAGAGAGGTGAGTGGGAGAAAGGGAAGGAAGCATGTGGTCTGGCCTTGTGGGGCCCCATGGCCTGTGGTCAGCAGCTTGGATTTGTTCTAAATGCAATAGGAAGCTATTGGAGGGTATTAAACAGAAGAAAAACTGGTCTGATCTGATTTGTTAAAAGACTACATCAATCTGTGGAAGCCCCTGTGTTTGGGGCTCATTTTGAAGCGTCCTCCCTTGACATCCTTACGTGTTTGTTCCTCTCCTTAAGGCCTGGTCATACCAAGCAGTCATCATGTCCTAGACAGAGAAACCTAGGTCACCTTTAGCATCAAAAAGCACCCCTCATATCCATGGTTTGTTATGTTTTCAAAATAACGAAGCAGTAATGCATGAAGTTGATATGTTACAAAAGAGTTCAACCTCAGCCTTTTCTTTTTTTTTATTTTGCACTTAAAAAAATACTTAATGCTACAATTACCCATGCTTTTTTGATCATTGTGCACTTTTTAATTAAGAAAGTATATCAAACATAAAAAGACATTGGGTCAAAACAGCTAAGCAATCTGTGCTTACTTGGGATGGAAACAATTTTAATTGATGCAATTTGCAGCCATTTAAATATTTCATATTTGGTTATTAACACTGCAGGGAAAGTGGGCACTTCATGCTGACAGACCAATGGAAAGAGAATTGCTGGTTTTGTAATTTTCACTTGCTCAGGTCTAATTTGGCTTGGGGTTCGCTGAGAGTTGTGTAGGTCAGGTGAACGCTAGGTCCTCAAAAGACAGAGGTCAGAGGACTGGAAAGTGATATTTCATATTTGAACCTGGTCATTAGCACTAGAAAGGCAATGTAGCTGTGATTTTGTAAAAGCTGTTTCTTCCTTAATACTGTGTGAAAAATCTTTCAAATAAGTACTGTAGCTTAGCGCCGAGATTTTATGATGCCTGCTGCAGGAGATGTGGGTGAATGCACTCAATCAGCTGTTTAATTAGACGGCCCTGGCTAGCAAAGAGATTGCCTGTTGAGTTAAGCATTTCCTGATTTTATTCCTTGTCTCCAGCTCACAGTGGAGTCTGTGGTGCTTTCTGATTTACATCGGTCTGAATTCCTCCTTTGGGGACTGGACGAAAAAGGTAGAGGAGGAATAAAACAGGGAGTATAGAAATGAATTGCTCATTCACCTGTTGACATCCACTATGGACAACATTTTTTTAAAAAAATTAAACAAGAATAGGAAAGACTCTAGTTCATAGTAGGAGGAGCATCCTGGGAGCTAAGGTATTCCTTCTATCACAGACAGTTCCAGAGGGACTGTGGAGCCCTTTGGGGCAATTTGACCAAGTGTCTGTTTCATCTGCACACAAAAGTTAAAGAACAGGGAACTGGATGAGACCATACAGACCTCTTTTAAGGACATTTTCCAAAAAAAACCATTGTGTGGAAAAAATTCTGTCAAGCCTGCAAAAGTTGTTAGATCTCTATGCCCATCTATCTCTCTTTTCCAACACCGACTTATTAGGAAGAGAAACAAAAGCAGCTGCCAGGAGCTGAAGCAAACAGAAGCTTCCCTATAAACATGAGTTCTCATAAAAGCACAAATGAAATGAATGAAATGGAGGGCAGAGGCAGGGAGTTTCATTTTTCATTAGACTCTCGTCATGTGAGTGCTTTTTTTTCCACAAGTGTCCTCGTCATTGGACTCTCAAAGACCTAACATCTAGTTAGTTCTAACCACATCTGTTCAGAGCAGAGAGAAGGTCCCAACACATTTAGGCCACTGCTGATGGCTTCTGACTGGAATCCCAATGGACTTGGATTTGAATGTTGCTTGAGTGCAGTACGTTGTGTGGAAATGATATTTTCAATGTCTTTCTTCCAAATCCAGTGGTTGAAGGCTTTAGGGGAAAAATCAGGAGAAATGCTTTGGGTTCTTACCACTATCTAGTAGAAGACAATAGTTACATCTTGAATGCATATCAAAAGGGTGCTCTTTCAAAGATCAGCTATGGCACTTGTATAAGATACCTTTAGTGCCATACATAATATGAGACCGGCTCTGAGGACACAAAGTTTGTCAGAATATATGGCTAGGAGGAATTTTGTACAAATCTATTGCTACATCTGGATTTCCTTTGAAAATGAATATTTAAAGGTTATAGTTTACTTAAGATTTTTTGCTTGATATCTTGTTTAATTAAAGCCTCAAGAAATTTACTTTTGCTTTTTAATAGGAGACTTTTAACTACTTTTTCTCACACATGTAATTTCTTGCCTGTTATTTTTCCATTCCTATTTAGGAAACATATGGAAGTCTAGTTTTTTTCTAAAAGTGAAATCTGCAGAACTGAGGTCATTTTTTGGAACTACCTGGAGTGAATGCAAAAATTGTGAGATGCTCTGGGGAAACTGTCTAGATGTATCAAGTGTGACTGTTAGGGAACATCTGGCCTCATGAAGCCAACACACCCACACCCACAATTTATTCAGAAACTAATTATTACCCTACATAATCTTAAAAATGCTTATGTGGGATAAAAGTTTGGACTCAAGTCTTGTAATTTTATAAGATCATCTATAGAAGAACCAGAACATTCAATGATGGCCCAATATCTAATCCCAAAGGATGATTTTTGGATAAAGAACCCTCACTAAGGCTAGAGTCACTCAATGAACACTTATGCAGAACAATATATCACTTCAAAGTCATGGTGAGCTTGCAAATAAATTGTTAAATGTTTCTGGAATGTCCATATCACCTGGCCACTGCAGAACCAAAGTGTGGCTACATCAATTAGTATCTGGGTTTGTCAAGACCGGCCATTGCTAAAGCTGGTTTCCAGGTCATCCTCATCTTCCAATTTAATTAAGTTAAGTATAACTTAATTCAGCAGAATTGTAGTAGGTGCATGTAACTATGCTAGTAGAGACTATGGGATGCAATGCAGGGATGGTCCCTGCATTGGGTGACTTTAAGAGAGATGGAACATAGTAGACATGAAGGGAAATGGAAGGACTCTAAACTAAAAGAAGGCAGGCTAAGTATGCATTTTCTCATTTTATCCATATGAGTTGCCTCATGAGTTGTGACACTGTGTCACCTCCTTTCTACAAACAAACAAAAAAGAGGTACAGAGAATTTAACTCTCCCAAAGGTCTGTAGCTACGAAGTATCCAAGATGATTCAAATCTGGGTGGATCTAATTCAAAGCTTGTGCTCACCATGACTGCTACTTGACAGTCACTGAGCTACCCACCCTAACAGGGTCTGAATGGGGGAAGGTAGCCTCTGAGCAAGTCCGGGTCAGGCCAGGGCTATGAGTTGATAGTTTAGAAAGCTGGTATTCCTCAGGAAAGGTGATGGTATTCCTTGGTAACAAATTAACCTCCAAATCTCAAAAACTAGAACAACCAGGGTCTATTTCTTGCTCACACAAAGTAAGGCACATGTCAGGTGACTCTCCAGGGTATGTTTTCACGTTGCAGCTCTACCATCTCAACAGGTAGCCTCCACCACTAATGTGGTAGGGAAGAGAAGGGGCATAGAATACTCAGATCCATTTTTAATTTCCTCTGAAGGGAGATGACTCCCCTCACTTCTACTCAGGGTTTGTTGGCTTGATGCTATGGTTTGGATATCCCCTCCAAAATACATGTCAAAACATAATCCCCTTTGTGGCAATATTGAGGGAATGAGCCTTTAAGAAGTAATGGGGTCATAAGGGATCTGCATTTATGAATGGATTAACCCATTCATAGATTAATGGTTTGATAGGTTAATGAATTAATGGGTTATCATGGGAGTGGGACTGGTGCCTTTATAAGAAGAGGAAGAGAGACCTGAGCTGGCACATTAGCACAGTGCTCTCACCATGCAATGCCCTGTGCTGCTTCAGGACTCTTCAGAGTCCCCACTGGCAAGAAGTCTCTCACCTGATTCAATCCCTCGACCTTAGACCTCTCAGCCTCCAGAACTGTAAGAAATAAATTTGTTTCCTTTATAAATTACCCAGTTTCAGGTACTCCGTTATAAGCAACAAAAAACAGAATAAGACATCTGACTAATCACATGTTCCCAACATGACTGCGAAGAGTGTCTGGAAGTCTTCTTGTGTGCCTAGATGGAAAGAACCAGAGGTAGTTAGCAGAAGTAAGTGTGCTCCTTCCTGCTTAGCCCAGAACCACCTGAGGGCTAGGAGACACCAGCGGTTGCTTCTCTTTTCTGGGTTATTGATATACCCTGACTATTGCCAAAAAAAAAAAAACTTACTCTTGATGTCTTGCACCAAATGGATATCAGTCAAGTAAAACTGAAAATTGACCCAATAATCTAAATAATAAAGACCAATAATTTTATTCTCTCACTGAAACAAAGAATTGAAGCAAAGTAATAAATCCTTCAATTCCCTGGATTACTACTTAAATTATACACTTATCTTCACTAGTGTAGATCTGGCCTCTCCATATGCCAAAGGATAGTTTACCTCTTCAACTAACCCTCCTGGAACACCTGCTACTGTGTCAAATGCTGGAAACAAAGCTGAATCAGTCGGTACTTTTGGTTCTTTTTGTCAAGAAGAGAAGTTAAAATGAATATACAAATAGCTATAAAAAGGAAGAATATGAGAAGCTCTAGGAGGTCAAATAAAAGAATGGGTGTACAAAACATGCTATTCCAGGCCACATGCCCACAGCTGATTGGAGCAGGAACAGAGACCTAATCCAGAAATTAACTTATGGCCAGGCTAGAAAGGATGGGCAGGACCAATGTGAATTCACTCTTGGCAGTTGAAATTAGAAAACCCAGAGACTGAGTTAATAAAAGGACAAGTTCTGTTGGAGCTGCAGTCATCACTATAGTCCAGCAAGCTGAAGTTAGA